>NC_000002.12:153550224-153853254 GCF_000001405.40 Homo sapiens | reverse complement strand
CCCCCAATCTGGGTGGGCACAATCTAATCAGCTGCCAGCATGTCTAGAATAAAGCAGGCAGAAGAACATGGAAGGACTAGACTGCCTGAGTCTTTTGGCCTCCATCATTCTCTCGTGCTAGATGCTTCTTGCCCTCAAAGATCGGACTCTAAATTCTTCAGCTTTTGAACTCTTGGACCTACACCAGTGGTTTGCCAGGGGCTCTCAAGCCTTCAGCCATAGACTGAAGGCAGCATTGCTGGCTTCCCTACTTTTGAGGTTATGGGACTCACACTGACTTCCTTGCTCTTTAGCTTGCAGATGGCCTATTGTGGGACTTTACCTGGTGATCCTGTGAGTCAATACTCCATAATAAACTCCCTTTCATTTATACATCTATCCTATTAATCCTGTCCCTCAAGAGAACCCGAATACAACAAGCCTTTGTGTGGATATATACTTTCATTTCTCTTGACTAAATACCTAGCAGTTAAATAGCTAGGTTATATGGCTGTTATATGTTTAAAGCTTTAAGAAACTGCCACATTGTTTTCTTCAGTGGTTATACCACTTACATTGTGTATTATGCTGTTGTTGTGTGGAATGTTTGATAAATTTTAAGCCAACTTGCTTGATAGTGTTCTTCAAGTCTTTCATACACTTACTGATTTTCCATATGTTCTATCAGTTATTGAGAGAGCATTATTGAAATATACAACTATTTGTAAATTTGTCTATTTCTCATTTAGTTCTATACATTTTTGCTTTATATATTTTGAATCTCTCTTATTAAATACATAAACATTTTAGGATTACGTCCTATAGATGAATTAACCTCATTATGTCACTTATTATTCTTGAAAATATCATTAACTAAAAAATGTTAGTTATTATTTCTGAAAATATCATTTACTTGGTAATCCACTTTATCTAATCCTGATATAGGCAATGTAGGCTTCTTTTGATTGGCATATATTTAAAGTGGTTTCTTGTAGGCAGTATACAGTTGTTGCGTTTCATGATATTTTTAAATCCAATGTGGCAATCTCTGCCTTTAATTATTCAGGACATTTACATTTAATGTAGTTATAGATATTGGTTTAAGTGTACTATATTCTTTGTTTACTATTTGTCCAATATATTATTTTTTTTTACTTCTATTTCTGTCTACTTTCAATTTCCGTAGTTTTATGCCTCCATTTTTTCTCATTTTTTGGATTATTAGCTGCAACGCTCTGTTATTTTGGCAAATGATTTAAGGCTAATAGTATACATCGTTAACTTATCATGTCTCACCTTCAAATAATATTATACCAATTCACATATGGTATACAGCTTACAAAAGTATACTTCGTTTTCCCCTCCCCGCCTTTGTACTAGTCTTGTCATACATTTTGTTTCCTCAATGCTGTAAACTTCACAATACATTTTTGTTCCTTTAAACAGTCTATGATCTTAAGAGTTTTTTTAACTAAGAAAATGATCTTCATTATTTACCTATATATTTACAAATTCTGGTGCTATTAATTCATTTGTATAGATGTAGATTCCTTTTTGTTGTTGTTGTTCTTCTTTCTTTGAGACAGGTTCTTGCTCTGTCATACAGGCTGAAGTGCAATGAGATCTCACTATAGCTTCAAACTCCTGAGCTCAAGCAATCCTCCTGCCTCAGCCTCCCAAGTAGCTGCGACTACAGGTGTATGCCATCACACCAAGCTACTTTTTTTTTTTTTTCTTGGAAACACAAGGTCTCACTATGTTGCCTAGGATGGCCTAGGAACTCCTGGCCTCAAGTCATCCTTCAACCTTAGCCTCCCAAAACATAGGGATTACAGGAAAATGCAAAATTCTATCTGATATCATTTTACTTCTACCTAAAAGATTTTCAATACCATTTTCTGTAGTGAAGGTCTTCTGGTAACTGTTTTAGCTTTCTGTGTTTCTAAAAATTCTTATTTTGCCTACTTTTTTGAAAGGCATTTTCCTTGTAGAATTCAAAAATGACTGTTTTAAGTACTTTTAATACATTGCTTCACTCTCTTATGGCTTGAATTGTTGCTGACAAGAATTGTATTGAAACTTTGATCTTTGTCTTTCTTTGTAATATGGCCTCTTTTTCTAGATACATTTGAGATTTTTCTATCACTTAATTTGATTATGATAAGTTATGGTATAGTTTTCTTCTCTCTTGTGCTTGAGGTTTTTGAGATTCTTAAACTACGGGCTGATAATTTTCATCAAATTTGGTCAATCTTTCATTATTTCTTCAACATTTTCTTTGTCACCTTATTTCTCTGGAGGTGACAGAGAAAAAAAGGGTGTTGAAACCATCACTCTTATCCAGAGTTTCTAATTACACCAAGGCTACTTGAAGATGTCTCACATATCCTAATGCTTTTTTTCAGTTTTCTTACCCTTTTACCTCTCTGTATCATTACTTCTACTTTCTGTTGCTATTCTTCAACTTAACTAATCTTTTCTTCTACATTGTCTGCAGCTAATCTCATCCAGTGCCTTTCTCATCCCAGAACTTTTAGCTTCCATCTCTAGATGGGGTGTCTATTATATATTCTATGTGTTTATTAAGCATGCTCAATCTTTACCATCTTAAATATATGGAATATAGTTCTAAAAATTGTTTTAATGTCCATGTTTACTAACCATGATTCATGTCTTTTCTACATGTTTTAACTGATCGATTGTTCAACACATTTAAATTGTATTTTTCTGATTCTTTCTTGGTAATTTTTGATTGATTGGCAGACATTGTTAATTCTACCTTTTGAGTTCTGAAAACTTCTTGTGTTTTTATAAATTGCCTTGGGCTACATTCTGAGACACGGTTAATTTGTTTGGAAATAGTTTGATCTTTTTTAGAGTTGCCTGTAGGCTTCAATAGGCAGGAACAAATCAGTCTTTATTTTAGGGTTTTCTCTTTACTACTGAGATGAAACCACCATGCTGATTATTCTATCCAGTGTTTACTGGTAGGAACAGGAACTATTCCTGGACTGGTGTGAGTGCCAAGTGTTGTTCTTTGTTCTCTATGTTTCATTTCTTTCCTTTTCTTTTTCTTTTTCTTTTTCTTTTTTTTTTTTAGACGGAGTCTCGCTCTGTCTCCCAGGCTGGAGTGCAGTGGCGCGGTCTCGGCTCACTGCAAGCTCCGCCTCCTGGGTTTATGCCACTCTCCTGCCTCAGCCTCCGGAGTAGCTGGGACTACAGGTGTCCGCCACCATGCCCGGCTAATTTTTTTTTTTTTTTTTTTTTTTTGTATTTTTAGTAGAGACGGGGTTTCACCGCGTTAGCCAGGATGGTCTCGATCTCATGACCTCGTGATCCACCCTCCTCGGCCTCCCAAAGTGCTGGGATTACAGGCATGAGCCACCACGCCCGGCCTTTCTTTTTAGTGGTTCTTATCCCAGAATCAGATAGTTTCTTAGCCACATATGCTCATACGTAACTCACCTGAATACTTAAAGGAACACATTGCAGATTTCTGAAGATTTTTTTGCAGCTGTCTACTCTCCATATCTCTGCCTTTCAAACTGTACCACCATGCCCTCCCTGAACTTCTTCTTCTGTCTCCTCTATTCAGGGAGGCTGCTGGGTTCTAATGCAGAGAGAACTCCTGGTTCAATCCCCTCAACTCAGGGAGACACCTAGGTTATCCTTCCCTATATTCTTATGGCCACAAACTGGGGCAATTACAGGAATTATCTTGTTTGTTTCCCCTTTCTCAGAATCATTGTATTCCATTGACCAATAATCATTATCTGAAAAGTGTTGTTTCATACATTTTTTAGAAGTAGAATTTTAATTCTTTTTATTCTGTTTTGCTGCGTCATTGCTGCTCCTTGCTAGGCAAGAATACAATATTGAATTCTGTTCATTATCGAGTATTAGAGGTACAAAAGCAGACATTATAGTCTTATTTCTATTCTCTAAGGGAAAACTAGGTATTTCACTATTCAGTATGTTGTTTGGTAGGATTTTATCTTTCAGTTTAAGATAGTTTCTTCTATTCCTAGTTTTATCATTAAAATGTTTTAACTTTTCTCAAATGTGTTTTTTGCATGTATTGAAATGATAATGTGGTTTTTACTCTCTTATTGTTAGTTTTGTAAGTTACATTGTTGAGTATTAAAACTTCCTTACATTTCTGAAATAAATCCAATTTAGTCTTAATGTAGTATCCTTCCATATTTTATTAATTTGGATTGCTAATTATATTTAAATACTTTTGCAGCTAGATTAATAAGAGAGGTTGATCTGTAATTTTCTCTTTTTTTTGTAAAGTCCTTGTCATTTTTTGGGATCAAGATTTTGCTGTATTATAAAATAATTTTCTATTCTCTGGAAGAGTTTTAAATGTTAGTGCAATTTACTTTATACATACATTGTAGAATTCATCAGTAAAAACATCTGGATTTATAATTTCTTTGTGGAAAGGTTTTCAATATTGAATCAAATATAGATTCAATTATTTAATTTGCCATAAATGCTTCATATTGCCTATTTTGTCTTGTCTCCATATTAAGATTTTTTAAAAGTTTGTATATTTTTATAAATGTTCATATTGATAGCATATATTTTTTCATTGATCTTTCTATTACCTGTAAGATCTGTAGTGATATTCACCTTTTCTAAAATTTCTGATTTGAGAAATTTGTATTTCCTTTAATTTCTTGACAGATTTTACTACAGTAATTAATATTTTCAAAGAAGCAACTTTTGATATTGTTGGTTTTCTCTATTTTGTGCTTACCTCTGAGTCATTAATTTCTACTCATATTTATTATTTTCTGCTTTCTACTTCTTTGCATTTAATTTACTGTTATTTTTATGACTTCTTGAGACAGAATCTTAGAGACTGATTTTCAGCCTAACACTACCAAGTGAACACCTTTGAAGGCTTGTGTAAATTCCCTTGTATCCCTTTTACCATGCTATGTGCTCAATTCCCTGTTCCTGTGTTCTTTGCTACTAACAGTGAGCAACTTCAAACTTCTTCAGAGAATTACCCACAGGGCACTAAAACTGCGTCACCAATATGAAAATCTGTAAGTGATTGGAAGCTTAAATCCCACCAGTATGGCACACGGATTCCCCCAAATACTTGTTTTACAGTGTCTTTGGCCCATCCTACAGCTTCTGGCTTGTAGTTGAGACTTTTTCAGAGAATTGTCTTGGGAATACTTGAATGGCCTTGATTATTTAGAAAGAGCTTGAAGTACCTGAACATTTCCATCTCCCGGGAACAGACCATAGTCAATTACTGACTTATTCAGAGTTCCATAAGCCAGCTCTCTTGCCTCAAGATGGAACTCAAATTGAGATGCAATTTTAGTTCTAGAGCGCTCCATGGGATCAAACTGTAGCTGAACCTTTAGGTAAAATCCCATATTTTTTGTACTTTCACACTTCACCAACTGCTCTCTCCAATATTGTACTTCTTTCTTTCTGAAGCATTTCTCAATACATTGTTGAATTAAGGAGCACTTCTGGAAGAAACCAACTTAGAACATTCTACATGTTTTCCTCTAAGCACTGCTCTATCTGGGTAACATTATTTTGACATACGTCTTATTTTTATTACCACTTAACTCAAAATATTTTCTAATTTCTGTTATAATTACATTTTTTTTTTACTCCTGGGTTATTTAGATGTGTGTTATTTAATTTCCAAATATCTAGGAATTTTCATGTTGTCTCTTTGCAATTGATTCCAAACTTACTCCCAATTTGATTAATTAACTCTGTATGAGTTTTTTTCTGGTTTTGTTTTAGAATTTGTTGAGACATTGCAATATGTTATATTTCCACTCTTTTTTACCTTAGGGTGAAATATTATGTACTGTGTGTGTGTGTGTGTGTGCGCATGAGCACATATATTTGTCAAACTGTTATTCAAATCTTCTATATTCTGAATGACTTTGTCTCTTATATAAGTTACTGAAAGATTTGTATTCAGAATCTTTTATTACTGCCCGTAGTTTTGTCTACTTACTCAAATCTCGTAATTCTTTCTATATAATTTGAAGAGAAGGTAATATTAGATGCATTAAAATTATAATTTTTATATAATATATCCTGATAAACAGACCCCTTTGTCATTGTGAAAGGTGTTCTTTGTCATGAATAATGTTGTTTATCCTAGAAATCTGCTTTTTTCTATATTAATTTGACTTTACTGGCTTTTTTCATTAGTTTTTATAGGGAATACATTTTGCCATCCTTTTACTTTCAACTTTTAGGTGTCCTTATATTTAAGATGTGTCTCTTATAAACAGCTTAAATTATATTTTATTTGTATGTCCATTCTAGAAATATTTATTGGAGAAAAAATATGTTTTAATTCGGACACCTCTTCAGGTTATCTGATTCTAGCCTTTCTCCTTTAGGCTATGTTGTAACTGTAAATTTATAGACATGCAAATTATGCCCTACTTGGTTTGGTGCAGATGCAATTGTCTTCCTTCATACCCTGTAGGAAAAATTTTTGCCTCTATCTGCGTATTCATTTCATCATTCCTGATTTATAAGTGAGTCTGTTTTTTGGATTTTCTTTTGAACTAATTTGTAACATATGTCAAGTTCACTCATGAGTTAAACTGTTTAACAAGTGTGTATTTTCATATCTTTATGAGAGTCACAAATTTGCTAGCTCTGATTATCTTTTAATGTGATCTTTAAATTATATTTGTTAGAGCATTTACATTTAAATGTGATTTCTGCTTAAGTTTAAATCTAACATCTTACAAATGTTTCCTAAGTCCCCCAACTTGTTCGCCTTTTCTTTTAATTGAACCAACAATATTTATCATGATTTTTAACCCTTATTGGCTTAATAATGTGCTCAATATTTCTTAGTGAATACCTATAAACATTCAATATACATTCTACTTTTATCTCTTTCCTGAAAATGACAGTGGCAGTATTTTGGGAAACATTTCTCGCTTTACTTTCTTCCTTGTGTATATTACAGTCCTCTGTTTAAATTCTACATATATTTAAACACCAGAAACAATTAGTATTAATGCTTTAAGTAGTATTAATGTTTTAAGAACAACTCATTTTGATTTTCCATATATTTATCCTTTCCGTGTATTCAAATTTATTTTTGTATTCTTATGTTTTCATAAGGAATCATTTTGCTTCTGCCTAACTACTTTCTTTGGTACTTCGTTTTACTGTTTACTGCTTATTTGCTAATAAGAAAAGTATCAAATTGTTGTTAGTCTGGAAAAGACTTCACATTACTTTGCCTTTACTTTTGTTACACATAAAATTCTAGGTTAGCAGTTTCTCTCAGAACTTCAAAGATGTCATTTCACTATCTTATTTTTTCTTTCATCTCTGTTGAGAAACCAGCTTTGCTCTTATTGTTTATTCTTTTTTTGAAAATAATACACATTTTTTTCCTGTTTACTTCTACAACTTGTGTTTGGTATATACTTTTGTGATATACAAAAGTATGGTACTTTACATTTACCCTGCTTCATTTTCGAAGAAATTCGTAAATTTGTGGTTTGATGTCTATTGTCAGTTTTGGAAAATATTTATCATTATGTCTTCAAATATCACTTCTGCTCATTCTCTTTCCTCTCCTTCTGGGAACCCCTAAAATACTAAAGTTTTATCTTTCATCATGTCTCTTGATATAGTTTAAATATCTGTCCCCGTCCAAATCTCATGTTAAAATAAAATCACCAGGTGGGGTCTTGTGAGAGGTGTTTGGATCATGGGGACAGATCCCTCATGAATGGCTTGGGCCATCCCCTTGGTGATAAGTGAGCTCTCATCTGAGTTCATTCACGTAAGATCAGATGATTTAAAAGAGTGCGGTACCTTCCCCCATTCCTTCTTTCTTTCTCTCTCTTGCTCCTGCTTTTACCATGTGATGTGCCTGCTCCCCCTTCACTTTCCACCATGATTGTAAGCTTTCTGAGGCCTCCCTAGAAGCTGAGCAGATATCAGCAGCGTGCTTCCTGAAAATCTTGCAGAACCATGAGCCAATTAATCCTCTATTCATTATAAATTACCCAGTCTCAGGTATTTCTTTATGTATTTCTTTATAGCAATGCAAGAATGGCTTAATATAGAAAAACGGTACTGGGAGTGGGGCCTTGCTACAAAGATGCCTGAAAATGTGGAAGCAACTTTGAAACTTGGTAACATGCCAAAGTTGAAAGACTTTGGAGGGCTTGAAAGAAGATGGGAAGATGAGGAAAAGTTTGGAATTTCTTAGAGACTGGTTAAATGATTGTGATCAAAATGCTGACAATAACATTGTCAGTAAAATCCAGGCTGACAAGATCTCAGATAGAAATGAGGAACTTATTGGGAACTGGAGCAAATGTCACATATGTTATGCCTTAGCAAAGAGTTGGCTGCACTGTGTTCATGCCTAGGGATATTTGAAAGTTTACAGTTGATAGTGATGACCAAGGGTACCTGGTGGAAAATATATCTAAGCAGCAAAGCATTCAGGATGTGGCTGGCTGCTTCTAACAGCCTAAGCTTAGATGTGAGAGGAAAGAAATGACTTAAGGTGAGAATTTATGTTTAAACAGGAAGCAGAGAGAAAGGTTTGGAAAAGTTGCAGCCTAGCCATGTGCAAAGAAAGAAAAAGCTTTTTCAGAAGAATACAAGCAGGCTATAAAGCAACCACTTGTTAGAGAAATTTGTACAACTACAAAGGAACCAAGTCCTCTTATCCAAGAATATGGGAAAAGGCTTTGAAGGCCTTTCAGAGACCTTCACTGCAGCCCCTTCCATTACAGGCCCAGAGGCCTAGGTAGGGAAGAATGATTTTGTTGCCCTGGTCCAGGGCCCTGCTATCCTTTGCAGCCTTGGGACAATGCTCTCCACATTCTGGCTGCTCTGGCTCCAGCCTTGGCTTAAAGGGGTCTAGGTACAGCTCGAACTGCCACTTCAGCTTCAGAGGGTGCAAGCTATAAGCCTTAGCAGCTTCCATGTGGTGTTAAATCTGCAGGTACACAGAATGCAAAAGTGAAGGAACGGCCTCTGCCTAGATTTTACAGGATGTATGAAAAGGTCTGGGTGTCCAGGCAGAAGCATGCTGCAGGGGAGAAGCCCCCACAGAGACACTCTAAAAAAGCAATGTGGAGGGGACATGTGGGATTGGAGCCCCCACAAAGAGTCCCCAATGGAGCACTGCCTAGTGGAGCTGTATGAAGGGGACTGCTACCATCCAGACATTAGAATGGTAGATCCAAAGGGAGGATGCACTTATTCCTGGAAAAGCTGTAGGCACTAAACAACCTGTGAGAGCAGCCACAGGTTACAGGGTGCCCCTGCAAAGCCACAGGGGCACAGCTGCCCAAGGCCTTGGGAGCCCACACTTTACACTGGTATGCTCTGGATGTGGTACATGGAACCTAAGCAGATTATTTAGGAGCTTTAAGATTTAATGACTGCCCTGCTGGGTCAGCCATAAAACTTGCATGGGGCCTGTAACCCTTCTCTTCTGGCCAATTTCTCACTTTGGGAATGGGATGTTTACCCAATGCCTATACCACATTGTGTCTTGGAAGTACATATCTTGCACCTGATTTTTCAGGCTTATAGGTGGAAGAAACTTGCCTTGTTACACATGAAACCTTGGATTTTATGTTTTGGAGTTAATGCCAGACTAAGTTAAGAGTTTGGGTGACTATTGGGAAGGCACGATTGTATTTTGCAATGTGAGAAGGACATGATATTTGCGGGGAGGGGCAGGGATAGAATGATATCGTTTGGATAGTAGTCTCTGTCTAAATCTCATGTTGAGATGTAATCACCAGTGCTAGAGGTGGGGTCTGGTGGGAGATGTTTGGATCATGGTGGCAGATCCCTCATGAATGGCTTGGGCCATCCCTTTGGTGATAAGTGAACTCTCACCCTGAGTTCACACAACATCCGGTCATTTAAAAGTGTGTGGCACTCTCCACCTCTTTTGCTCTTACTTTTGTGATGTGACATACCTGCTCCTTCTTCACCTTCTGCCATTATTGTAAGCTTCCTCAGGCCTTTCTAGAAGCCCAGCATATGTCAGCAACATGTTTCCTGTAAAGCCTGCAGACTCATGAGCCAATTATAGCTCTTTTCATTATAAATTACCCAGTCTCAGGTATTTCTTTATAGCAATGCAAAAATAGCCTAATATATCTCTTAAGCTTTTTAAAAATGTATTTTCCATCTTTTTTTTTAATCCCCTATGCTTCAGTAAGGACATTTTCTATAATATATTTTCCAGTTTACAAATCTTCTCTTTCACTATATTTAATTTGCTGCTAAACACATGTATTAAATTCTTCATTTAATCTGAAACTATTATCTTTTTCTCCAGTTCTAGAATGTCAAGTACATGTTATTTTATATGGGCCAGTTTCTTGATAAAACTGGAATCTTGTCAGATATGCTTCAATCTTGTCATATATGTTCTAAGACATATTAATCTTAAAGTTCATATGTGGTTATTACAGCATCTGGGTTACCTGTTGGTCCAGTGTAGGTGTGTGTGTGTGTGCATGTGTGTGTGTGTGTGTGTTATCCTTTTGTAATTTGCCCCATTGTCAGCATGCTTTAGTTTTTACTTTTGCATTCTAGCTCTTGTGTTTTTTAAAAAATGAAGGATAAACTGAGGTTCTGGATAGTTTAATTTTTCTTCAGAAAAAAAAAACTAGTTTTACTCTTTAGCAGGCAGTGTGTGTAGAAATAGATGACCTTCATTTAGTTTAGGACTGAGTTGGTTTGAAGTTGTTTTTTAGTCTTTTGTAAGAGACTGTGTGTTTCTAGTTCACCCTTACTCTTAGGTGATGACACTTCTCGGTTCCTAAATGTACATCTTGAGAATTATCCAGGACCTCTGCTCTTTGATACTCCCTAATCACCAATATTTTTCTCACCAGCCTGTGGGGCTGTCAAAATTTCTACTCAGTTTCTTACTTACCAAGTGCCTCTTTTTTGTTCAATGTTTTAGCCTCTCAACTCTGAGTGACAGTAGTTGGCAAATAATTTTGAAAAGAAAGGGATAAAGAATGTTGGGCTCATTTCAGTTTACTTCCTTTTCATCATATTCTGGCCCTCTTGCTAGTTCTCTGATGCTGTAGGAGAGATTATTCCCCCAGCTCCCCCCACCTCCCCATCCCACAGTTTTATACTTTTTTTCAATAGCAGAATTTTTCCACAATAAACTATTTTACCATTATGGGAAACAGAATCTCTCCCAACCCTCCACCCTGCTCCCCACCACCCACTGTACTTTGTTTTGTATAGGAAAGAACACCCTTAAAATTTTAGTACTAGCCTCATTTGTCTTCCTTTTGACCAACAAGCTGGAACTCTAACCCTGAGAACCGCTAACAGTACAAATCAGAAATGTAAACATCATCTTTTGTGCACTTTGCTTTGAGTGTTGGCTTGTAATTTTGGATCCCAAAAATATATTGTTATAAACATAGACTACTTAATAAAGAAGGACCTTATAATAATTTTATACTTTCAGAAGTTATACATTAAACTTGAGATCAAACCATAATACAGATGCTCTTGTGATTTTCTCAAAACATAGGCACATTTTGTATAATAAATATTATGAGAGTAGGGGAAGAACAGAAATATTATGCTGTGTATTTCAGGGAGTACTTCAGCTTTGGGATGAGATAGACATGTGCTCAAATCCTGGTTTGACCACTTGCTATGTGACAAGAATGTAATATCTCTCCTCCTCAATTTTCTTTTCTGTTAATTCATATCGTAATATTTATATATTATGATGACTGTGTATGTTTCAATGAAATATGTATATAAAATGTTTAACTCAAAGTCAACTTTACCCAAAGTGCTTAGTCAATATTAGCTACCCATTCATACTCTTTTTGAATAATTTCCTCAGTGAAGTAAAAGTTTCTAAAAATAAATTCAAATTATGCTGGAATGTTTGGCTATAAAATTATAAAGGAATAGATTCAGTTGAATAGCTATGTATTTTTAAAGGTGGTAATTTTTTACAAATAAAACACGATGAATTTCTATAGAGGAATAACATGAAGTTCAAAAGAATTCCTCTATAGAAGGAAAAATATTAAATATCTAAAGTTCTTTTTGAAGAGCATCTAAAAATTAAGAGTAATGGAAAGTAAATATTTAAATTGTTATGACACTAAAATATATTCCATTAAGTAATATAAAACCTTGCCAATTTTGACAAGACTGATTCTAACATTTTTTTCAGAGAATCATGAGAGTTTAGAACATAAGCGCTCTTATTTAAAATCTAAGAATTCTTATATCTAGAATACTTAAGTAATATTCGAAGGTTACATACCCAAAAAAGGCCTGAGAAATACCTGATTAGAATATGTGCTGAATATGTTCAATTTACCTCTTCAATTGCACTTGCCATGCTTCTGCATCCTACTCTGTGCCCAGAAAGACTTCTGGTTGGGTTTGTCCAATGAGCAACATTAGCGGGAGATAAGAGGCAAGTTAGGGTATATAGTCCCCCTGTTGCCTCCCTCCAGGGTCATTCTAGCTTTTTCTATTTTTTATTGTATTTTCTGCCAGGCAATTCTCACCACACAGCTTTTAAAGATGCTTTTATAAGCATCAGGGTATTTTCTACTGTCCTTTGTGGTTTACTTATGCTCTGCCTTTATAATGCATTTCTCAAATTACCCAAATGCATGTGCCATCTTTTTTTCTGCCAGGACCCTGATGCACACAGAAACCATATCTTTCATATGGGAAAAATTAAAGGAGCTCAGAATTTTGTGGTTTATTAGTCAACATTTTCTCCTTCTCAATATGATAAATATATTGTTGCTGCCCAGAAGGTTATTGCTTTATTATATAGATTACAACAGAATGACCTGATTCTCAAGTATGTTCATAAAGTCTATCATGCTTGCCATGATGTCATATATTAACATTTTGTTTCTTAAAATGTAGTTTTAAATGTAAAAGCAAACTATATAAATGAATATTTTAAGATTATAGGAACATAACACCAAATATTTTCAAAACCCAGAGGGAAAAGCAGTGTTTCAAAACCTGTTCAATTACATGCTATTGCCAAAGAATTTTACACTGAACTATGTGTTAGTTTGTTTATTTTTCTATTTGTAAACAAAGTTCTTCAATGCATTAGAGCAACATTACATAGAAAAATGTGGGTTAATAAACAAGCAATAACTACAATGTGCCACCCACATTAATTGGCAATAAGAAAAATAAGTATAGTTCCCTACTAGGAGGAACTTCCCCCATCTCCTATCCTATCACCTTTTGAAAAAAAATATTCTAAGTTAGGTTTGCCCCGTCACTAAGTCATCCTCTGCTGGCTCTATAAACAGTCAGTTTTTCATTATTTTGGCAGTACACTTACTAGCTTAAAATATAGTGTTCTATTTACTCCCGGTTTTGAAGTCCTAAGTCTTTTAGATAATAAATACACAATGTCTCCACAGTGGTTTCAAATAGAAAGATCATCTAACATGGGCCCAGATTTTCCTGTCTCTAATTGTACCAATGATTAAAAAAAATACAAATGTATATTTCAAAACAGATCAGAAAAATTAACCATCTATTGAAGTTGCAAATTATGAATAATCTATTAAATATATGGATTTCCACTTCAGAAATATTGTGAAAAACTTTACATAATTCATAATTAATACTTTTTTCTTATGGAATATATAATATTAACATTTCCTTATATAATATACAATATTAACAGAAGGAAGGATAAAAATTATAATCAACTCAATAGAGAGGTAAAGTATTTGACAAAATTCAATGTCTTTTCATGATTAAAAACCCTCAGTGGATTAGGTATAGAAGAAATATTCTTCAACATATAAAAGCCATATATTACAAGCCCACAGCTAACATCATACTCAGCAGTGAAAACCTGAATACTTTTCCTCTAAAATCAGAAACAAAATATGGATGTCCATTCTCAGCATTTCTATTCAATATAGTACTAGAAGTTCTAGCCAGAGCAATTAAGCAAGAAAAAAAAGTAAAATATATCTAAGTTTGAAATGAGGAGTAAAACTCTCTGCTCATGACATGATTTTTATATATACAAAACTCTAAACATTACATGCACAAAAAAATTGTTAGAACGAACAAATTCAGTGAAGTTGCAGAATACAAAATCAACCTACAAAACAGTTGCATTTACGTACACTACAACACACTACCCAAAAGATATTAATAAAATAATTCCATTTATATCAAAATGAATAAAATACTTATGAATAAATGTAACCAAAGAGATGAAAGATCTATACACAGAAACTTAGAAAAAAAGATAAAAAATTGAAGAAGACACAAATGTAATTATATATTCTGTTAATAGATTAGAATAATTAATATTGTTAAAATGTCCATATTACCTAAAGTTGTCTAAAGATTCAATTCAATCTCTATCAAAACTTCAAAGACATTTTTCACAGACATAGAAAAAAAATCCTAAAATTTGTGTGGAAGCACAAGAGTTCCTGAATAGATCCCTGAGTAGACAAAAGACCAAAAGTAATCTTGAACAAGAAGAACAAAACTGGATGCATCACACTACCTGATTTTAAAGTATTTTATAAAGCTATATCAAAACAGCATGGAACTGGCATTAAAACAGACTTTTGCACCAATAGAGTAGAATTGAGAGCTCAAAATAAAGGAAAATAAAAACTCATACAAACTCAACTAATCTTCAATGAAGGCATCAAAAATACACAATGGGGAAAGGGCCGTCCCTTCAATGAAGGGGCTGGGAAAACTGGATATACCCAAAAATAAATTGGTTATATCCAATAAAATTGGACCCTTATCTTACACCACATACAAAAACTACTCAAAGTGAATTAAAGACTTAAATATAGGGTTTGAAACCATAAAAATCCTAGAAGAAATATAGGGGGAAAACCACATGACATTGGTCTGGACAATGCTTTTTTGGATATCACACCAAAAGCACAAGCAACAAAAGCAAAAATAAACAAGTGGGACTACATCAAACTAAAAAGTTTCTGCAGAGGAAAGGGAAAAATCAACAAAATGAAAAGGCCACCTATAGAATGGGACAAAATATTTGCAAACTTTATATCTGACAGTGTTTAACATTCGAAATATATAAAGAACTCATACAACACAGTAGCAAAATAGTTAAAAATGGACAAAGGACCTGAATAGAGATTTATCCAAAGAAGATATACAAATGTCCAACATGTATATGAAAAGGTGCTCAACTAATTATCAAAGAATTGCAAATCAAAACAACGAGATGTCACCTCACACTTGTTAGAAAGGTTATTATTAAAAAGTCAAATGATAATAAATATTGGTGAGGATTGGAGAAAAGGAAACACTTGTACATTATTGAAACTATTATATAAATTGGTATAGCCATTATGGAAAAAAGTAAGGAGATTCCTTAAAACACTAAAATTATAGCTACCACATGATCCAGCAAACCTATTTCTGGGAATATATGCAAAGAAAGTAAAATTAGTATCTGGAAGAGATTTCTGCATTCCCACGTGCATTGCAGCATTATTCCCAATAGCCAAGATGTAGAATCAACCTCAATATTCATTGACAAATGAATGGATAAAGAAAATGTGATGTCTATCTATAGATATAGTTACATAGAGTAGAATATTATTCAGCCTAGAAAAAGAATGAAATACTGATTTGCAATAAAATGGATGAATCTAGAAAACATTATGCTAAGTGGAATAAGCCAGAAACAGAAAGGCAAATACTGCATAATCTCAGTTAAATACATGGAATCTAAAAATGCTGAACTCATAGAAACAGAATGGAACAATGGTTGCCAGGTGAGTATCTGACAAAGGGCTAATATCCAGAATCTACAATGAACTCAAACAAATTTACAAGAAAAAAACAAACAACCCCATCAAAAACTGGGCAAAGGATATGAACAGACACTTCTCAAAAGAAGACATTTATGCAGCCAACAGACACATGAAAAAATGCTCATCATCACTGGCCATCAGAGAAATGCAAATCAAAACCACAATGAGGTATCATCTCACACCAGTTAGAATGGCAATCATTAAAAAGTCAGGAAACAACAGGTGCTGGAGAGGTTGTGGAGAAATAGGAACACTTTTACACTGTTGGTGGGACTGGAAACTAGTTCAACCATTGTGGAAGTCAGTGTGGCGATTCCCCAGGGATCTAGAACTAGAAATACCATTTGACCCAGCCATCCCATTACTGGGTATATACCCAAAGGACTATAAGTCATGCTGCTATAAAGACACATGCACATGTATGTTTATTGCGGCACTATTCACAATAGCAAAGACTTTGAACCAACCCAAATGTCCAACAATGATAGACTGGATTAAGAAAATGTGGCACATATACACCACGGAATACTATGCAGCCATAAAGAATGATGAGTTCATGTCCTTTGTAGGGACATGGATGAAGTTGGAAATCATCATTCTCAGTAAACTATCGCAAGGACAAAAAACCAAACACCGCATGTTCTCACTCATAGATGGGAATTGAACAATGAGATCACATGTACACAGGAAGGGGAACATCACACTCTGGGGACCGTTGTGGGGAGGGGGGAGGGGGAGGGATAGCATTAGGAGATATACCTAATGTTAAATGACGAGTTAATGGGTACAGCACACCAGCATGGCACATGTATACATATGTAACTAACCTGCACATTGTGCACATGTACCCTAAAACTTAAAGTATAATAAATATAAAAAAAAAAAGAACAATGGTTGCCAGGTTATGGGATGGGGGAGGAAATAAGAGAATTTCTGTCATACAGTACAAACTTTCTAAGATGAATATATTCTGAAGATCTAATGTGTAGCATGATGACAATAGTTAATAATGTACTTGAAATTTGCTAAGAGTAGATTTTAAGTGTTCTAACCGCAAGAAAACAATGGCAATTGTATGAGGTGATAGATGTGATAATAAGCTTAATTATGGTAACTATTATACAATATATAGGTATATCAAAATATCAGGTTGTGCACTTTAAATATATACAATAAAAACATTTTCTCCTTGTCTTATCACATCAATAAATTGCCCCATGTGTTATTTCACCTTCTTTGCATTCAGATGTCAAAGACATAGCTGAGATTGCATCTTTTCCAGATATATTTAGGTAATTTGCCAATTTGGGATTGAAAGTCTAGGATTAAAGACTCCTAAAATTATTTTATCTTAACCATAGATCAGGGGACAAGATAAATTCATATTAGCTTCATAACATAGAGCACATTAAGGCAAACTCAATGCTTTTGATAGGTTCACTATTCCCCCCAAAATGGCAAAGCTAAAATGGACATATTACTTAGAGAAGAGTAATCTGATATTCAATCTTAGAATGGCCAGATCAGTCAAGTCATATGGAGCAAGTGAGCTCATTACCCATCAAAATATAAGAGTTAATCTGCTGGTTTCCATAAATCCAAAATTTGTTATTGAAACATATATTTAAAGTATTTTAATATGACAGGAAGTGATAGCACTAAAATAATCATGTAAATATATGTGATAAGTAGATGAAATTCACTCTTTTATATTATGAAGCATAGACAAATTGGGTTTTATCAAAGTATTTCTATATTTTAAAAGTAAGTTTTAAGTTTATTAATTTCAATTTAAAGGAATTTAAATCAAAACCTTCAAGATTCCAGTTTCCCAGAAACTATAACATTAAAACCATTTCATCATAGAACCAAAACCCCTTTCATTAAATTTGTATTTTTTAAATGACTGCATTCTTTATTCTAATTATTTTTTATTACTCAAACTATCACTGGTACCAAATATTGCATCAGATGCTTTGAATGACAGGTAACAAATATTATAATCTTAAGTGAATTAATAAGAAAGTACATTGTTGGACATAAATAATTCTTGTGTTTTGCAATTCTATCTATCTTGCATGTGAGTTTTCTTGGGATACAACATGTAAGATTAACCACCATGACCCTGTACTCACTACCTAAAACAACCAGATATACGCTATAATGTTTTATGCTTGGTTCAGGTTCTTTTAAGTATATATATTTAAAAAATCCATCCAAGTCAGCTCAGGATAAGAAGTTTTGCTGTAAGATTACAAGAGGAAAAAGTCTAGAACTAGAAAGAAAAAGTACCATGAGAGGAGGCAACTTCAAGGACCAGACTGTCTTCTCTTCTTTTTCACAGACTTAATTACCTCCTCTTGAGTTTCAATTTTTCTTCGCGTGTCTTTTCTGCTCTTCTCTCAATTGAGTTTCTACCAATTGACTTAACTCTGCTTACTCATACTTCATGGTTGTTCAAATATTTAAGTTGAAAATATGCTTATCCCCATTGAAAAGCAAATATTTACAAGGCATGGACTATGTTCTAGGTACAGACAGCTTCATCTTGCCATGGCTCCAACTCCACCTCATGTTTTGTCAGTTCCTTTCCTCCCATTATACATGTTATATAAGCCTGTTGTATGCCTCATTATCTTTCCAAATTCATGTTCCCCAAAAAGAAAATCAATGTGTACTATAGAAGTTGTAAATGGTGACTCAATAGTCATTTTAAACTTTCAGATATGTTTTGAGCATAGATACTCTTGCCTCCCCTCCACTAAAGTATTAAAAAATTGTATTAACTCCCAATATTTATAAATTGGTAACTTTTACCAAAATATCCTAATTTTTGCCATCCCTTGAAAAAACAAGAGCTGACAACACTTGGCATTTTGTTTATGCTAACAATTACTTGGTGCTGATTAGCTACAGTCCCCTGGACAGAGCCTGTGCTCTCCAGGTTGCCACCACTCCCAACTCTGTCCTACAATAAGGCTGAGATTCTTTGGCTTTTATCTTTGTCTTTATGCCCTGGCATATTTTAGAGAAGAGCTTCTAAGCAGAAGAAAGTGAGCTACTGTTTAATCTGGCCTCCTTCATTCTTTTATATTATCTGCCTGGCCTCTGGCAACTTTCCAGTTTGCATATCTTGCAGTCTCATTTTAGCATGGTGTCCAGCCTGTGGTAGGGCTTCCCTAGATTAAGCACATTCTCTGGGTCCTGGGAGTGAGAGAGCTTTACAACAGAAAATATACCCGCCTAACTAAAAACAGCTACAAGTGGTACAAATTTCCTTACAAGGGGGTGAAGACAGGCAAGCCGGTATATTAACTTTTTCAATTTAATATGATAAAAACAAAATTGAGTATGCCTAAATCACAAAAAAAATTAATTTTTTATCAGTAACATTGTTAAGAAATCACACCACTCTTTTCGGAGTGATAATTCTGAAGACTGAAAGGTATGGCTGTCCAATATTATACTAAGAAGGGAATCAAAAAGGAATAGAAAGCTTGGTGGCATAGAATCCCCAAGCTACCACCATATTTTGAGACGTGCCAAAATATAAATCTCCCAAAATGGTTCTACCTGGAGAGTTGATTTTACAATTTCTGTTTCCAGTCTTCTAAAACAGGGGTTGGCAATATTCAATCTATGACCCAAATCTGGCCTGCTGCTTGTTTCGTATAAAGTAGTCTTCCCTTGTCTATGAAAGATTCATTTCAAGACGCCTAGTGCATGCCTAAGAACATTGGTAGTACTGAACCGTATGTACATCATGTTTTCTCCAATACATACATGCTTGTGATAATGTTTCAGTTAAATTTGATACACTAAGAGATTATCAACAATTACTAATAAAATAGAACAATTAAAACATTATACTGTGAGACTTCTTTCTTCACAATTTCACAGATAGAAGATTTGTTCTTACCGTAGATCTTAGCAACCTCAAGTTACAATTTTTGTTCTTATTAAGTCTAGAACTTTCATGTTTCTACTTTTAAATAGAAGATTTGTTCTTACTGTAGATCTTAGCAACCTCAAATTACAATTTTTATTCTTATTAAGTCTAGAACTTTCATGTTTCTACTTTTAAAAAAGTGTGTTATAGCTTCTACTTATCATGTCAGAATTACCACCATCACTATGCTTGTGCTTTGGTGACATTATTAAGTAAAATAAGGATTACATGAATTCAAGCACTGCAATACCAGGATAGGTGATCTGATGACCAAAAGGGCTACTAAATGACTAGGTGGCAGGGAGCATAGTCAGCATGGAGATGCTGGAGAAAGATAATTCACATCCTGAACAAGATGGAGAGGGACAGTGCAAGATTTTCATCAGGCTACTCAGAATGGTGGGCAACTTAAAACTCGTGAATTGTTTATTTCTGGAATTTCCCATTTAATATTTTCAGACCAAGCTTGACCACAGGCAATTGAAGCCATGGAAAGCAAAATAGAGGATAAAAGGGGACTACTGTATAAAGCCTTGTTGGGACATATCCATGCCTATTTGTTTAGTATTACCTGTGGCTGCTTTTGCATTAAAAAGTCAGAATTGCATAGCTGTGACAGAGACTGTCTGGCTTTAGAGCCTAAAATATTTACTGACACTTTACAGGAAAGGTTTGTCTATCCCTTTTCTAAAGAAAAACATAACTAGGTACCCAAAATACATTACAAAATGGCCCTTGTAGCAGAAGTGCTCCTTCTACCTGATCTAAAGTCTCCTGCTGCAGCTTTAATTTAATTACTTCATTTTGACCTTGGCTGAAATGAAGAGCTACAAAACAATATCATCAGTAATATTTATTCATATTGAAATCTGTTAGCAAACAATCAACTCTGCCATTTTGTAACTAAAACTACTAACTTTTATTTTATTAGTCACACTCCCCGGATTAGTAGTGGAGTCAAAATAAAGATCTTTTACAACTACATACCTAATTCCCTGAACAACTTAAATCCCATGATAACTCCACTTATTTTTGAACTTGTTTTGATTATGGCAAAATTGACCTATCGAGACTCTCATACTAAAATAATGAAATTCTATTTTATGCCTTCACAGATCATCACCAATAACATATATAATTCACTATGAATAGCATTTCTTTTGGAAATAATTTTTATTTTTAGCAATGTCTGCTGTGATCTTCCTTGTCCTTTGTTAGTCTCCACTATGCCTTCTTCATTTTTTCCCAGTGAATGTCAATTGTGATACAGTCAGATTATTCAGGCATTGATGGAACCAGGTAGACTTCATTTATGCTATTAGCATAAACTTTTAACATAGCTACAAACATCTCCAGTGATTATGCTCTGAAACATACAGTTCTCTTCTTTCATTAAACTTCAGAAAAAATTAATTACTTAAAATCGACATGGAATTAAAAGTTTTCCTTTATTCTGGCAATGACCTGCTCAAAGATTTATGACAAAGCTAGCCCACACACACAAACAACAAAATATAAAGTACCTCATAATTAACTAGAAATATGTCACACGAGTATAGAACAAGAACTATAAATTTCTGTTAACAGAGTTCAAAGAAGACAATAAATGAAGAGATACGCTATGCTTCCAGTTATTAGCGAGAGTCCACTCAGGAAAGCAAATGAACCCAATCAGGACGTAGAAGTAGGAAGCTGCCAACTGGGTGACTCAAAAGAGAACTGTAGAAACACAGAGATAGCACCAACGGACGCAGTTAACACTGCTAAGGCTGAGGAAACAGGGAAGACGCTGGATTTATTATTAATTTGAAGTCGAGGAGGGCCTCCCACAGAGTCAAGAGAGGGCATTGGCAACGGTGCTGGGTTTCTGGGTGCTGAGGCGTGATGAGGCTGATTCTGTGAGGGTTCGGAAATCTGCAAAATGGATACAGTGGCTGCTACAAGAAGGAATTGCTGCTACCAAAGGGAAGAAGCATTCTAGGAAGATACTCATGGGAAGAGAAGAGCACAATTCCCACAGGAAGCCGATGAGAAGAAGCAAGCCCCATGATCCTGTCCTTGCCGCCTCCTGCTAGCACTTCTTATTAGCAGACTCAGACAGAGACACTATTAAAGGAAATGTAGTTTTCAGAGCCCTACCTCCAGCATTAAGGAGCAGGGCACTTTTCCTAAGTACATTAATAGATATAAGTGGATTGGGGTGATAGAATAGTGATAACTTAAGTTGAACTGAAATTTGAAGGAAAAAACGAGGCAAAGTTTGTCAACAAGCATAGTAACAGTAGTTTTATATTAAGGACATGAAAATGCATGAGAAACGATACTCCAAACCATAACATGATTGTATTGTAAATTAATTAAGTAAGTTATTGAAACAGACTCTATCATGTCTTTAAATTGTAAAATAATTTTCAACCAATGCTGCTAGAAAGAAATTTGAGATATTCTTTTCTTATGTATAACACTTCAAACCAATTTTATTTTCAGTGAATTAAGATTTCAAGTGTGTAAAATGAAGACAATAAAATATTTAAAAAATGGTTATTATTTACTGGATTCAGCATGAGGAAAGAATACGTAAACACATATAAAGAGCAACATTAAAGGAAGAGTTACATTGATTAGATATAATGTATAATTCTGAAAGCAAAGTTATTAAAGCAAAAATGAAAAGGATAATGATACCTAGGAACAAGTTTTACAAATTTGTGCAAAAAGAGATAACAGTTCTTGGCAGCCAAAACAATTATAAATGAATACAAATGCAAACCTTTCTCCTTAGAAAAATGAGCAAAAGATTGGAGCAAACAGTAAAAGAGAAAGTTAAAAATAAAGAACATATAAAAATTAAGCCTCTTTAGCAATTAGAGAGATATAGATAAAATAAAAATGTATCTTTTTTTGGTATGAAATTGACAAAGGCAATACTACTTAATACTGGCAATATTAAAGGCATTCCCATGCTCAGCTGACAGTAGTAAATGTGCACAGCTTGTTCAGTAGACAAAATAGCAATATATGTCCTAAACCCTTAAAAAAATTTTAGAATTAAAGAATTTCCCCATTTCTAGGAATCTAACCTAAGAAAATGAACAAATGTACAGTCAAAGTCTTGAGGATGTGAAATTCAATGTCTTCATAATAATAAAGAAAATTGTGAATTTATTACATATCTAACAATAAGAAAGTTATGGTAGTGCCATGTGATGAAATATTACGCAGATTTTGAAAAGCATGTTCTAAAAATATACATCTGACAAACTTGGAAACTTTTCAAAACATGCAAATTTAAAAAAGCAAAATACAAAATAATGTTTCTGGTATGAGTCTAGGTAATACATAAAAATAATAATCATTTCAGAATAGTGAATGATTGTTTTACTTCTAAAAATACTTTTAAAACTTTCCATTCATAAAATGAAATACTAAGATATACAATTTTTAGTACACATCTGTTTAAAGGAAATATATACTCAGAACTTGAAAATCATTCTCAGAGCAAACAGATCTCCCCACTATTCCCTCAAAACAAAATGTAAAGACTGAGACTTCCTTTGCAATAACAAATAAAATAAAGGAATTAAGTCTCTTCTAAATATCAGCTTCTAGTTCTGTTCAATTCAACATGCAAGCATTTTACAGCAAATAGAATTTGCAAAATATTAATTTTGAAACTTTATTTTCTAGGTTAAATAATCAGTTAAATGCCATTTGTAAGTTAATTATTCTAAACTATATTTTTTGACCTCTTTCCTGAGCTCCAGATACACACAATTAACTGTCTGCTTGGCATCTAACTATGGAAGTCAGATATGGTTTGGCTGTGTTCCCACCCAAATCTCATCTTGAATTGTAACTCCCACAATTCTCATGTGCTATGGGAAGAACCCAGTAGGAGGTAATTGAATCATGGGGGCAGGTCTTTTCTGTGCAGTTCTTGTGGTAGTGAATAAGTCTCATGAGATCTGATCATTTTAAAAATGAAAGTTTCCCTGCACAAGCTCTCTCTCTCTTTGCCTGCTGCCATCTATGTAAGATGAGACTTGCTCCTTCTTGCCTTCTGCCATGATTGTCAGGCCTCCCCAGCCATGTGGAACTGTAAGTCCATTAAACCTCTTTCTTTTGTAAATAACCCAGTCTTAGGTATGCCTTTATCCACAGTGTGAAAAAAGACTAATATAGTAAATTGGTACCAGTAGAGTGGGGTGCTGCTGAAAAGATACCCAAAAATGTGGAAGTGACTTTTGAATTGGGTAACAAGCAGAGGTTGGAACAGTTTAGAGGGCTCAGAAAAAGACAGGAAAATGTGGGAAAGTTTGGAACTCCCTAGATACTTGTTGAATGGCTTTGACCAAAATGTTCATAATGATATGGACAATGAAATCCAGGCTGAGGTTGTCTCAGATGGAGATGAGGAACTTGTTGGGAACTGGAGCAAAGGTGACTCTTGTTATGCTTTAGCAAAGAGACTGGTGGCATTTTGGCACTGCCTGAGAGATTTGTGGAATTTCAGACTCAAGAGAGATGATTTAGGGTATCTGGCAGAAGAAGTTTCTGAGCAGCAAAACATTCAAGAGATGATTTGGGTGCTGTTAAAGGCATTCAGTTTTATAAGTGAAGCAGAGCATAAAAGTTCAGAAAATTTGAGGCCTGAAAATACAATAGAATAGAAAATTCCATTGTCTGAGGAGAAATTCAAGCCCAGCTGCAGAAATTTGCATAAGTAACGAGGAGCCCAACGTCAATCCCCAAACAATGGTGAAAATATCTCCAGGGCATATCAGAGCTCTTCACAGCAGCCCCTTCCATCACACGACTGGAGGCCTAGGAGGAAAACATGGTTTTATTGGCCAGGTTCAAGGTCTCCATGCTGTGTGTAGTCTAGGGACTTTGTACCCCGTGTCCCAGCCACTCCAGCCGTGGCTACAAGGGACCAAGGTACAACTTGGGCCCTGGCTTCAGAGGTTGCAAGCCCCAAGCCGTGGCAGCTTTCACATGGTATTGAGCCTGTGGATGCATGGAAGCCATGATTTGAGGTTTGGGAACCTCCACCTAGATTTCAGAGGATGTATAGAAACTCCTGGATGCCCAGGCAGAAGTTTGCTGCAGGGGTGGGGCTCTCATGGAGAACCTTTGCTAGGGCAGTGCAGAAGGGAAATGTGGGGTTGGAGCCCCAACACAGAGTCCCTATGGGGCACAGTGGGGCTGTGAGAAGAGGCCCATCGCCATTCTCCAGACCCCAGAAGGGTAGATCCACTGAGAGCTTGCACTGCGTGCCTGGAAAAGCTGCAGACACTCAATGCCAGCTCATGAAGGCAGCTGGGAAGGAGGCTGTACCCTGCAAAGCGACAGCAGTGGGGCTTCCCAATACTATGGGAACCTGCCTCTTGCATCAGCGTGACCTGGATGTGAGACTTGGAGTCAAAGGAGATTCTTTTGGAGATTTAAGATTTGACTGCCCTGTTGGATTTCAGACTTGCGTGGGGCCTGTAGCCCCCTTGTTTTGGCCAATTTCTTCCATTTGGAACAGGTGTATTTACCCAATGCCTGTACACCCATTGTATCTAGAAAATAACTAACTTGCTTTTGATTTTACAGGCTCATAGGTGAAAGGGACTTGCTTTGTCTCAGATTAGACTTACTTTGGACTGTGGACCTTTGTGAATTAATGCTGAAATGAGTTAAGACTTTGGAGGACTGCTGGGAAGGAATGACTGGTTTTGAAATGTGAGGACATGAGATTTGGGAGGAGCTGGGGTGGAATGATATACTTCGGCTGTGTTCCCACCCAAATCGTTTTTTTTTTTTTTTTTTGGGACGGAGTCTCGCTCTGTTGCCCAGGCTGGAGTGCAGTGGCACGATCTCAGCTAACTGCAAGCTCCGCCTCCCGGGTTCATGCCATTCTCCCCCGCTCAGCCTCCCAAGTAGCTGGGACTACAGGTGTCCACAACCACGACCAGCTAATTTTTTTTGTATTTGTAGTAGAGACAGCATTTCACTGTGTTAGCCAGGATGGTCTCGATCTCCTGACCTCGTGGTCCACCCACCTCGGCCTCCCGAAGTGCTGGGATTACAGGCATGAGCCACTGTGCCCAGCCTCCACCCATAACTTTTCTTGAATTGTAACTCCCACAATTCCCATGTGTCATGGGAGGAACCCAGTGGGGTGTAATTGAATCATCGTGGTGGGTCTTTCCTGTGCTGTTCTCATGATAGTGAGTAAGTCCCAGGAGATCTAATGGTTTTAAAAGCGGGAGTTTCCCTGCACAAGCTCTCTCTCTCTGCCTGCTGCCTTCCACATAAGATGTGACTTGCTCCTGCTTGCCTTCCGCCATGATTGTAAGGCCTCTACAATCATGTGAGACTCTAAGTCCAATAAACTTCTTTCTTTTGTAAATTGTCCAGTCTCAGGTAGGTTTTTATCAGCTGTGTGAAAACAGACTAATACAAAGTCTGAGTTCACAAAATGAACATGTCAAAAAACAATTTTGTCTTCCTTCTGTTTCATTCTGTCTCTCTGGTACCTCTGCATCAGCAACTTTCTCCTCCTCATTTTCTCTAGAACACACCTAATTACTACTGCCAAAATCTGGCACTCTTCTGTATCCCCAACTTTTGCATTAGTGTATCTAGTTACTACCCATCCGATGCTTCTACCTGAGTCCAAGCCCCCTGTATCTCTCTTGAACAAGTGAAAGAGCTTTTCATCTAGTTTCTCTGATTATACCCTTTCCCAGACATTCATTTGTCATAAAATAGCTATAGGGGCCATTAAAAATATCATTTAGATCATGTCATTTCCTGGTTTAAAACTCTTTACAGTTTTCTGTCTTTCTTTGGGTTTCTCCAGAAGCAGACCTTGATAAGGATTAAAGTATAAGAATTTATTTGACAGGTAATACCAGGGAACACTTGTAGGGGAAGTAAGAAAGTAAAAGGAATAAAGTCATAAATTGTATATTACCAATTGCTAGGGTTTGAATGTTTGTCCTCTCCAAAACTCATGTTAAAACTTAATCCACAATGAGACTGTTGAGAGGTGAGGCACTCAAGATGTGTTAATAACTGGGTCATGAGAAGACATGACTCTGCCCTCAGTAAGGGAGTAATGGGTTAATGGCTTACTGGCTTAATAATGGCTTAGTGGGCTATAATCAAGGCAGTAGGATTGGTGGATTTATAAGAAGAGGAAGAGAGGCTTGAGAGACTATGTTCAGCCCCCTCATCATGTGATACCCTGCACCACCTTGGAACTCTGCAAGGAGTCTATACCAGAAAGAAGGCCCTCACCAGATGCAAGCCCTTGACCTGGGTCCTCCCAGCCTCCAGAAGTATAAAAAATAAATTTTATGTATTGGGTAGTGTTGGATAGAAACTGAGTACACTAATGAAAGAGATGGGGATAGAGAAGGGTATCAGAATTTGGCATGAGTAATTAGACATGTTCTAGAGAAAATGAGGAGGAGAAAGCTGCTGATGCAGAGGTACCAGGGAGCTAGGATAAACACATTATCCAATTTCAAGTATCTGCTATAAGTGACAGAAAGTAGACTAAGACACCAAGCAAGCCACCACTTTGAGGAAGTGGAAATGAACTTCATACAAAATGCTAGAAGCAGTGTAGAATATGTTATCTCAGTTATCCCACTGGAGGAGCAAAGAAGCCAGCTCTTGTTAGTCGTTTTTTAGGCTGTTCCTGCAAAGGGTATTCGCTGGGGGATATAGGGATTAATTGCCTGGCATTTCTGGCCTGCCCAAAACTCAGGTGCAGCAGGTTTCAGTGGATACACACACACACACACACACACACACACACACACACACACACACAGCACTCATGGAAAGAGTCACAGATACTAGCAATTGCAAGTCATACCTGCATTCCTAAAAAACTTAAGTGGCCAGAGACCAAGGATGAGACATTGAGAGCTAACTGACAGTATAATTTTGCACTGCGCTAATCTATTAATAACTTACTTAATTCTAAGATAGTGGCTTGTCGTAGCCTCTAAATACACAAATACAACAGGAGCCATTGCTATAATTGATTCTAATGCTGAAATTGTTACTTATAATCTCCTTCCTACCACTGTTTGTATATTCCCTTTAAAACTGGTTAGCATTTATGTTGATCTAAGTTAGAGTTATTCAACCTCAGTACTATTAACATTTTGGGTCATATAATTATTTATTATTAGGGATGTCCTGTGCCTTTTAGAACATTAAGCAGCATCTTTGACTTCAACCCACTGATGTGAGTCGCATAGTTCTCATCAAGCTCTGATCACCAAAAACATCTTCAAATATTGCCAAACATTCACAGCAATTCACAGCAATACCTAGATTAGCATTTGGTTGAATACCTGGGGGAAGATGTTGTGTTAGTCCATTCTCACACTGCTATAAAGAACTACCTGAGACTGGGTAGTTTATAAAGAAAAGAACTGGGTAATTTATAAAGAACTACCTGAGACTGGTAATTTATACATTTCTACAGGGTGTACGGAAGGCATGGCTGGGGAGACCTCAGGAAACTTTCAATCATGGCAGAAAACAAAGGAGAAGCAGGCACATCTTACACGGCTGGAGCAGGAGGGACAGAGAGGTATAGGGGAGGTGCCACAGACTTTTAAACAATCAGATCTCGTGAGAAGTCTATCATGAGAACAGCATTAAAGGGGGGAAATCTGCCCCCATGATCCAATCACCTCCCACCAGGCCCCACTTTCAACATTAGGAATTATAACTGAACATGAGATTTGATTGAGAACACAGATTCAAATCATATCAGATGTGAAAAAACACCAGGGACTGGAAATCTTGGGGATCCATCTTAGAATTTTGCCTCCCACATCATCTCAATGTTTACTCTATCGATCCACCAGCTTTTTCATGATATACTAGAAGACAGGAGTGGTGGATCCCAGGGTCATATGCCCATTGTCACAACTCCCTGAACAAATGTGGATTCCTTGGTCCAAGGTGATATTATGCTGGATATAATTACCAAAAAGACAAGTGCATTTGTCTTTTTGGTAAAATGATTTATTTTGTTTGGGTATATACACAGTAATGGGATTGCTGGGTAAAATAATAGTCCTCTTTTAAGTTCTTTGAGAAATCTCCAAACTGCTTCCACAGTGGTTGAACTAATTTATATTAGTTACACACCAACAGTGTGTGTGTTATACACCAACAGTGTATAACTGCTGTATAGCTATATACAGTGTATAGAGTATGTACAGCTGTATACAGTGTATATAGCTATATATATATATACAGTGTATAGCCTTCCCTTTCCTCTGCAGGCTCACCAGCATTTGTTGTTTATGGCTTTTTAATAACAGCCGTTCTGACTGGTTTCAGATAATGTCTCATTGTGGTTTTGACTTACATTTTTTCTGATGATTAGTGATGTGGAGCATTCTTTTCATGTTTGTTGTTCACTTGCATGCCTTCTTTTGAGAAGTATCTTTTTATATCCTTTGCCCACATTTTAATGGGGTTATTTGGTTTTTGTTGGTTGAATTGTTTAAGGTTCTTATTGATTCAAGATATTAAAACTTGTTGGGAGCATAGTTTGTGAAGTTTTCTACAATGGTATAGGTCATCTATTTACTCTGTTGATGATTTATTTGGTTGTACAGAAGCTCTTTAGTTTAATTAGATCCCACTTGTCAATTTTTGTTTTTGTCAAAATTTCTTTTGAGGGCTTAGTCATACATTTGTGGCAAATCCAATGTCCAGAATGATATTAACTAAGTATTCTCAAAATGTTTTTACAGTGGTATGTCTTACATTTAAGTATTTAATCCATATTTTGTTAATTTATGTATATGGTGAAGGTTGGGGGTCTAATTTGATTGTTCTGCATATGGCTAGCCAGTTATCCCAGCATCATTTATTGAATAGGGGGTCCTTTCCCCATTGTTTGCTTTTGTCAACTTTGTCAAGGATCATATGGTTGTGTGAGGGTTTGTATCTGGGTTCACTATCCTTTTCCACTGGTCTATGCGTCTGTTTTGTACCAGTACCATGCTGTTTTGGTTACTGTAGCCTTGTAGCATAGCTTGAAGTTTGATAATCTGCTGTCTCTGGTTTCGGTCTTTTCACTTTGGGTTGCTTTGGCTATTCAGGCACTTTTTGAGTTCCATATGAATTTTTGAATATGTTTTCTATTTCTGTGAAAAATGATATTGGTAGCTTGATAGGAATAGCTTTGAATCTGTATATTGTCCTGGGCAATATGGCTATTTTAAAGACACTGATTTTTCCAATTCATGAGCTTGGAGTGGTTTTCCATTTGTTTGTGCCATTTATGATTTCTTTCAGCAGTGTTTTATAATTATCCTTGTACAGAACTTTCACTTCCTTGGTTAGATGTATTCCTAGGTATTTTATTTTTTGTGTGTGCCAGTTGTAAATGAGAATATGTTCTTGAATTGACTCTCAGGTTGAACATTATTGATCTATATAAATACTACTATTTTTTTTCACATATATTTTGTAATCAGAAAATTTACTGAAGTTGTTCATCAGTTCTAAGAGCCTTTTGGCAAAGTCTGTAGGGTTTTCTAGATATAGCATCATATCAACAAAGAGAAATAATTTGACTTCTTGTTTCCCTATTTGGGTGCCTTTTATTTCTTTCTATTGCCTGGTTGCTTGGCTAAGACTTCCAGTATGATGTTGGACAGGAGTGGTGAGAGTGAGTATTCTTGTCTTGTTCCAGTCCTTAAGGGGAATGCTTCCAGCTTTTGCCCATTCAGTGTTCCAGTCCTTAAGGGGAATGCTTCCAGCTTTTGTCCATTCAGTACATGTTGGCTTGAGTGTGTCACATATGGCTTTTATTATTTTAGGTATGTTCCTTTAATGCCTAGTTTGTTCAGGATTTTTATCATGAAGGGATTTGAGATTTTTATCAAAAGCTTTTTATATGTCTATTGAGATAATCATATGGCCTTTATTTTTAATTCTGTTTATGTTGTGAGTCATATTTGTTTATTTGTATATGTGGAACTAACCCTATATCCCCAGAATAAAGCCTACTTTATTGTGTTGAATTAACTTATTGGTGTGCTGCTGGATTTGGCTTGCTAGTATTTTGCTGAGGATTTTGGCATCTATGTTAATCAAGAATATTTGCCTGTTTTTTTCTATTGTTGTGTCTTTGCCAGATTTTGATATCAGAGGGATGATGGCTTTGTGGAATGGGTTACAGAAGAGTCTCTCCTCCTCAATTTCTTAGAATAGTTTCAGTAGGATTGGTACCAGCTCTTCGTTGTATGTCTGATAGAATTTGGCTGTGAATCCATCTGGTCCAGAGCTCTGTTTGGCTGGTTGTTTTATTTTGTTACTGATTCTATTTTGGAGCTCATACTTGTCTGTTCAGGGTTTCAGTTTCCTCCTGATTCGGTCTTGAGAGGTTGTGTGTTTCCAGAAATTTATCCATTTTCTGTAGATTTTCTAGTTTGTGTGAACAGAGTTGAGTTCCTTAGCCTCTGAGGATCCTTTGTATTACTTTTGAATCAGTTGTAATGTCACCATTGTCATTTCTGGTTGTGGTTATGTGAATTTTCTCTCTCTTTTTCATGGTTACTTTAGATTGTGGTCTATCAGTCTTGTTTACCCTTTAAGAGAATTAGCTTTTGATTTCATTAATACTTTATATGATTTTTGGGTCACAATTCTGTTCAGTTCTGCTCTGATTTTAGTTATTTGTTTTCTTCTACTAGCTCTGGGGCTAATTTGTCCTTGTTTTACTATTTCTTCTAGGTATAATGTTAGATTGTAGACATCTTTTTAACCTCTTGATATAGGCATTTAGCATTTATAATTTTCCTCTTAACATTGCTTTTGCTGCATCCCAGAGATTTTGGTATGCTGTGTCTCTGTTTTCTTTAACTTTGAAGAATTTTTTGATTTCTGCCTTAATTTTTTTGCTTACCCAAAAGTCATTCAGGAGAAGTTTAATTTGCATGTAATTGTGTGGTTTTGAGATATCTTCTTGGTATTGATTTATATTATTTATTCTACAGCGATCTAAAAGTATAGTTTGTATGATTTTGACTTTTTGAACTCATTGACACTTGATTTATGGCCAACCATGTGGTTGATCTTAAGAGTATGTTTCAGGTGCAGATGAGAAGAATGTATATTCTGTGGTTAATGGGTGGGGTATTCTGTAGATATCTGAGGTCCAACTGGTAAAATGCTGAACTTAAGTCCAGAATTTCTTGTTAGTTTTTTGCCTTGATGATCTGTCTAATGCTGGCAGTAGGGTGCTGAAGCTCCCCACTATCATTGTGTGGCTGTATGAATCTTTTCATAAGTCTATAAGTATTTGTTTTAAGAATCTGGGTGCTCCAATGTTGGGTTCATATAATTTAGGATAGTTAAGTCTTCTGTTTGCATGATATATCTTTCTCCAACTCTTTACTTTGATCCTATGGGTGTCATTACGTGTCAGATGGATCTCTTGAAGACAGTGAATGAGTGGCTTTTGTTTTTTTATCTGACTACTACTTTGTGCATTTTAAGTGGGATGTTAAGACTGTTTATATTCAAGGTTAATATTGATATGTAAGGTTTTGATCCTTTTGTCATATTTGTAGCTGGTTGTTTCGTAGACTTGATTGTGTAGATGTTTTATAGGGTATGTTGGCTATATACTTAAGTGTGTTTTGTGGCAGCAGGTATTATTATTTTGTTTTTATGTTTAGAACTCCCATAAGAATTTCTTGTAAGGCTGGTGTAGTGGTAACATATTTTCTAAGTGTTTTCTTGTCTAGAAAGAATTCTATTTCTTCTTTACTTAAGAAGCTTACTTTGGCGGAATATAAATTTCTTTTTTTGTGTGAATGCTGAATATAGGGCCTTAATCTCTTCTGTTTTGTAAGGTTTCTGCTGAGAAGTCTGCTGTTAGTCTAATGGTGTTCCCTTTGTATGGGATCTGATATTTTTTCTAACTGTCCTTAAGATTTTTTCTTTGGCATTGACCTTAGCCTGGTGACTTTGCATTAGTGATGACCATTTTGTATATTATCAGGCAGGTGTTCTCTAGATTTCTTGTATCTTGATGTCTATCTCTCTAACCATATTAGGGAAATTTTCTTGAATTATTCTCTCAGATATGTTTTTCAAGTTGTTTACTTTTTCTCCTCTCCCAGGGATGCCAATAATTTGTATGTTTGGCACTTTAACTAATTTCATATTTCTTGAAGACTTTGTTCATTTTTTAAAATTGTTTTTTCTTGAATGTTTGTTTTTAAAAAAGACCAGCCTTCACACTCTGAAATTGCTTCTTCTGCTTAGTCTAGCTTTCAATTGTATTTTGAAATTCCTTAAGTGAGTTTTTCAATTCCAGTAGCTCTAATCAGCTTCTTTTAAAAATGTTTATCTCTTTCTTCATTTCCTGGATTGCTTCAGAAGTTTCTTTGTGCGATTTTCAACCTTTTCTTTGATCTCATTGGGCTTTCTTCCAATCCATGCTTTGAATTCTGTATCTGTCATTTCTGAGTTTCCATTTTGATTAGGACCCACTGCTGAAGAGCTAGAGTGATCCTTTGGTGGTGTTGCAACATTCAGATTCTTCATGATAACATAATTCTTATACTGGTTTCTTCCCATCTGGAGAGGAGTGTGTTGGGCAGGATCTTTGGCTTTGCTTGTAAAGCCCTATGCACTTCTATTGGCAGGATTTATATTGGGCTGTGTGGTTAGATGGACTGGCCAGTAGATGGTGCTTGCAGGAAAGAACTAGCTGTGGCATAGCAGGTGAGTATGTATCTGATCCTTTTTTACTGTGAGGTGTTCTCTGTTGTTTCAGGTGAAGGGCTGGACAGTGTTGTTCCATGTGGATGAGGGGACAGAGCTGGGCAGAGCTGAGCCCCTGACTTGCCCACAAATGTCCTGATGGCAAGTGCAGGTACCAGCCCTGACAAGGGTGGCTTGGAGGAGGCCTTGGTGAAGTGCACTGAAGTCTCTGTGTGGGAGTGAGGGAGCTGCACTGGTTCCCCTTCCTTGATAGGCAGCAACTTGATGTTTCCCTATCACATTCTTGTTCCAGGGCTTGTGACTCCTAGTTCATATGCACATTGTAGCATATCTCTGGACCACAATGTGATTGACAGCCATGGGAAATGATGAATTTGCAACTCTCTGTGGGTGTGGTTTTAGGGCATTACCTCATCACTCAGCCTGATACAGATAGCTTTATGGCTTATCTGTTCTCAAATATAGCAGTACTGCTGCTTCTTTAAAGAGGGGCTCCACCTTTGGGCCCATACATGTTGGTAATGGTGTGGTGATATTGGATGGTTGAGTCGGCCTGAGCTCAGGCCCTGGGAGAAATGATCAGATGCTACAGAGTTAGAATGGGGTAGAGAGTTCCTCAGTCCCTAGCACAATACATGGCCCGCTGGAGAATGTGTATGTGTCCTGAAGGAGCTGGACCCAGGTCCGGCTGGTCCAAAGTTCAGGTGCTGGCTGTGATGGGGAGGGGTGGACTGGTCCTCAGGTCACTGGCTGAACTTTCAAGCAGGGTTAAGTAGGATACTTAGGTAGTGGGAGCCTCCTGAGGGAATATTACAGACTGGTGGGGCTTGAGTTTTCAGAAGGGCTCTGGGATGCAGGTAAAATGCTCAGATGGAGCAGGGTGGCTGTGCTGTGGGCCTTTACTGGGGAGGGCAGGACCCTTTAGCTATGCCAATAGAGACTGGTGGCTGCCAGGCATGTGACACACTTGCATTTCTCTCCCACTTCACTGTTGCAGGCACACAAAGGAGGTGCCAAGCCTTGCCTGTTATCTTGGAGTTTTGTACCAGAGAAAAGCAGAGCCATGACTGACCACAGTGTTCCGGCAGGGGCAGAGTCACTATGCTGGGACCCCAAGCCTACGAGCCCTGCCTGGCAAGGTGCAGCTGGGGCAGGGGTCACACAGTCTGCTGTCTGGGCACTTCCTGGGGGAGCACAGGGCCAGAACTGTCCCCGGTGTTCAGACAGAGGTAGAGTTGCTGCACAGGGAGCCTTGCCTGGTGAGAAACAGCGGGGTAGTCAGGGCAATCTGGCCACTCTTCAGCAGTGTGGCTATGGCCTCTATTGGGGATACAGCAGCTGGCGCCAAGCTGCTTAGGGATCCAAGACCTGTGGGGCTCCACATAGGCTTGAGCAGCGACTCTACAAAGACTCCAGGTGGCTTTCTTTGTCAATCCGGAGTCCCTCGGGGGGAAGCCATGGGTCCTCCCATTCCCAGAATTGCAAAGATCAATGGTGGAAGTATGGATCTTCTGGGGTCTCTCACTCACCTAATCTTTTCCCTATATTAGGGAGCTTCCCCTGGTTCCATGCCGGTTCTGAGTGGGCAGCTGCCCAGCTTTATTCCTCTCCATTCTCTGTGGGTCCTGTCACTTCCTTGGTAAATCCCAGCATGATCTCTTAGATGATACACCTGAAGAGGTGGTATTTACTCAAACTCTTTGTTTCCTTTCCATGCGAGCAGTGCACATTAGCTGCTTCTAGTCAGCCAGCTTGAACCTCCCCCTCCTTAATTTATTTTCATGGTTGAATAATATACCATTTATGGTTACACCATGTTTTCCTTATTAATCAGTTGGTATAAATTTGGGTAGTTTATACTTTTTGGGTATTATAAATAATGCTACTACGAATATTTATGTACAAAATTTTATGTGGTGTTAAAGAAAATAACTATTCAATGACACTCGTTAAAGCATGTTAAGAAAGACTTTACTCAGGACATTGGTAATAAGTTTAGGGGCCACTGTAAGAGAGATCTTGCAATAGGGGAGAAAGGTGCAGTCCACCTCCAAAAACAGTATCAGCAAGTGGGAATTTATAGCAGAGGAGCAGGATGGGGGTCAGTGGACGGAAAATTACTAAGAGGAAACATCAGGGATAAGGGAGATTCTGGCTAAACCATCCTAACAGGATTTTTGCTGAAGACAGGTCAGGGTGATAAGACATCACCTGGGAGATGGTGGGGGATGAGAAACCCAGTCAGATATGAAGGATGATCAGATATCAAGGGTGAAGATTTCTTGCTAAACTGATTTATCAGGGTTCTTTGCTAAAACTGAATTTTATGAGAAAGTATGCAGATAGGCCTAGAAGGTTCAAAAGCCTGACTAAAGTTTGGCCAAGCAAAGAGTCTTTGTCAGTGGGTAAACCCACCTCTGAACTTGGTCAGGTTTTTCCTCCTCTATCAGATGGTCCTGATGAACATCCCATGAAAACTCACATGTAATTACACCGAGGAAGAGTCATTGGTGCAAGGGATGTCATGAAGTTCTGAGCCATTTGCTTAGGGCTGATCTTAAATGTAGCACTTCTTTTATATGATGCACTGTTGCTCTTTCTGCCAAACCTTATTACATGGTGGATGAAAATAACTAGCTTAAAATGGTTGGCTCTGGTTACATAGACATTTGATGTTCCATGGTCAGGCACTGTCTCTACTGGGGCCCAATACCATTCCAAGGGAGCTTTTTAAACAGTGAACATCTCTCCTCTGCATAACGTGTGACCTTGCTTCAGAACCCAAAGAGTCTGCATTGTAACTTATATATTGGTGCTGGCCTGAGATGTGACATATTACCATTATTTACTGTGGATACTTTTAGAATTTTGGAATTTGCCAGGTCATATGGACCAAGCAGTAAGACTGACCTAAAATCTGACCTTGCCACAAATTTGTCTCTTGCTATAGATCCTACTCAAAAGTAGCAGCCTTCTAAGTAATCTGATGTGATAATTAATTATCAATCTTTTATAATCTATCTATCTATCTATGTAATATATCTATCTAATCTATCCATCCATCCATTGTATTGGTTCTGTCTCTGTGGGGAACCCTAATACACCTGATAAATGGATCAGAAAATATTTCTAAATGTGGCAGCAGCTGTGCCTGCTACAGTTTTCACTGCATTTAAGCTAAAAGCTAAATATGTCCAATGGCATGAAAATCATTCCATGAACTGCCCTTCCCCACTATTTCTTCTACTTTATCTCTTACCACTTCTCATTGCTTACCATGACTTTCCTGGTACTTCTGGAACACAAAAAAGTTGATCCATCCTGAAGCCATGTCACCTTCTGCACCTCTGAGCTGAATACTCCACCCACACATCTCCTCAGACTCACTCCTGCCCAGGAGTCAGATATCTGCCCAAACATCATGACCTCAGATTCGGATGGCTCTTGTCCCTGACTACCTTTAAAGTAGTTCCTACCCCATTCACTTTTCCTAGCTTTTGATTACTTATTCTAATTTTGTTCCTCTATAGAACTTATAACGACAATCACAGTACATATTTCTTTGTTTACATATTTATTTTCTTCCATAAGAATGTAAACCTCACAGAACATGGAACTGGCCTTTCTGACTCTCAGGTATGACCCTCCATCAAGCATACTTGTGAGTGAGTGAATTGAGAAACTGAAGGAATAATCACAGGTAGTCATCCTGCAGAAAGAAGAGACTGACATGTTAGCTGAATAAATATACATATCCTAGGATGTAGGTTTAAAACCTTGGGTGAGTATTAGAATGAAGAATTTCTGATGTGAAGACTTTTCTTAATACAAAAGAATAAACCTTCAGCACATTTTATTGAAACCAAACAATAGAAATTGAGACCTGTAAGAGAAACTTTCCTCAAGATATTATGACAAATGACTACTTGAGACCATTTTCTAAATGATTTATTACTTTTAGAAAAAAAAATTAAGAATGGAAAAACTCTTATTGTAAGACATGCAGAGTTAATGATCTTGCCTAATGACTAGGCCTGCACCTCCCCTCCCGTGTTATGAAGTAGCTTACAGCTACAATCTAAAAGTATTCAAGATTTGTATGTTTGGAGAGTAAGGATACTGAAGGAATAAATCTTTGGGAAATTAAAAATTGTAATTGTATCATCTAGAAATTTTTATCTGAAGACGTGCATATTTCTTAATTTGGTAATTGGGCTCTACCTGAATGGAATAAAGTGAGTTTACATCCCCCAAATGTTCCAGGCACTTCACCTGAGTTTATACATATCAGGTTTATATGCAACAATGTGGATATACTAACTATAGAATGAGAGATAAATGAGTGAACAGAAAGTATGAACAAAATTTAAAGATTTTGTTTGATCACCAGCTCAAAATAAGACAGCAGTGGCAATAGATTTATAGTGTCCAGAACTAGAATATAAATAACATCATCTCTCCAAGTAAACTGTGTCTGCTTTAAGATATATATCAGCCAAATGAAGTCCATCTGAGAAAGACTTGTTATGCTAGCAGAGGGTTTGGAAACAATGACAGAAGACAGGGTTGTTTAGCAAAGAGTAGGCAATAGCTTGTCTGAGAATATTTTAGCTGTATTTAGCATTTAAATATCTCTTACACATAGAACTAGGAAATAATAATATTTACAGGGGGTTGAATTGTAGTTCTCTATGCAGAAAAATTTTTTGACAGTTAAAGATGTCTCAACATGACATGAAGAGCATTGTTCTCATCCCTTCCTTGCTCTAGGATATGGAATTTTCTACCTCCAACACTTAAAAGAATGAGCAAAACTGTGTTTTAGAATAATACATGTATATATCAAATTCAGCTGGGCTAGAATTAGAAATCAGGATTACGGTTTATAAGGCCTGAGTTGGAAGATCGTTGAAACGGCTGGAGGGAGCATCATAATGAAAACAATCAGGAGCATTGATTGGCAGTAGGTAAGGGAGAGGAGGCCTTTCTGTGTGATGCATTACTTTCTGGATGTGGTAGGGTGTTTCCAAAGGTAGCTGCAATGGTAGCTCCCGTCCTACAACTTTGGCAATGAGGCTTTGTGGCTGCTGTATTCAAAAAGTGGAGTCTATTTCTGTTTCCTCACGCCTCAAATCAGGGATGGTCATGAATTGTTTTATTTATTTATTTATTTATTTATTTATTTATTTATTTATTTACTTACTTACTTACTTATTTATTTATTGAGACGGAGTCTCGCTCTGTAGCCCAGGCTGGAGTGCAGTGGCGCTATCTCGGCTTACCGCAAGCTCCGCCTCCCGGGTTCACGCCATTCTCCTGCCTCAGCCTCCCCAGTAGCTGGGACTACAGGCGCCCGCCACCGCGCCCAGTTAATTTTTTGTATTTATAGTAGAGACGGGGTTTCACCATGTTAGCCAGGATGGTCTCGATCTCCTGACCTCGTGATCCGCCCACCTCGGCTTCCTAAAGTGCTGGGATTACAGGCGTGAGCCACCGCGCCCGGCCAAATTGTTTTAACTAAGAGTATGAAAGAAGTGATCGGTGATGCGGTGACTGTTCTGAACCTAGATTTTCAGATGCCTGCTACTTTCTTGTTCTCTCTTGGAAGCCAGCTGCCATGCTACAAGGAGTTACAGATTCCCATGCTGAAGATAGAGCCACATAGAGCTTGAAGGATAAGACACTACAGAGAAAGAGACAGACTACATCAGGGAGCACCAAAGTGCCAGGTATAAAGCCATCTTGAATCTTTGGGCCCTATTTGGCTGAGCGAGTGATCCCCTTGGCAATATGCAAACTAGAAAAACAGCCCTATTAATTCTTGCCCAAATTCCTAACCTATATAATTGTAAGAAATAATAAATTATAGTTGTTAAAGTCATGATATGGTATTGTGCTATATCAATAGATTTCTGAAATGCTAGCTGCTTATGATCAGCACATGTGTTGTATCAGATTGAGATTTCCAGCCACTGGCAGTATTCAAGAAGAGATTCTATAATCATTTGCGGGAAGTTGTAGAAAATAAATTAGTATAGGATAGGTAAGGTCAGACCGGATGGCCTCTGAGGTCTTTTCTAATAATTGAATACTATAGGAATACCTTTCTAGGTCCTCTGATGACAGAAAAAAAAATGAGATAAGGTATGTCTTCCTCCCACCCTCTCCATAACTCATAATGGGGAATTGGTCTGGGTGATCTGCTACTTTCTGATTCTAGAAGAGACCTATAGCTGCATGGCTACAAGACTTAGGAAAATTAAGGACATGCATCAATCTGTAGCTGTTTTGATAGCATAGCAATATTTAATATATACTTTAAGTAACTTACCAATGCAAATATTTTATATCTTAAGATTGTTTTATCAGTATGCAAATTCATTCCCAGGGAATCCTAAACAAGAGTATGTCGTACTCGTTCACTCTTCCCCAAACCCCTACCTCCACCTCAGTAATATTAGCTTACTCATTTGTAACAGAAAAGTGTATACTTAGACTCTGAATCACTGAAAACAGATAAGAATTCAAAACTCATATACAGTCTCAAACCTAAGTGAGAAATGACAATAAGATGATGAACCCAACAAGAAATCAGATTTTTATTAAAATTGATAAGAAATGAAGCGTATAGATAAAAAGAAAAGATAAAGTGAAGGGGAAACCACTTTGATCATTTTTATACATTTTAATATCTCAGCAATATCAGTGAAAAAGATAACACAAAACCTGTATGTAGAATGGTTCAGCTAATTTTGTAAGGAGAAGAAACCCTGGAGGATCTTTTACAGTCAACATTCCTGTGAGATATCACCATTTACATAAGATTAGAAAGAAAACACTTTGTGCGCATAGGGAAAGCAGGATATTTATGCAGAGAGCAATCACCAGTGTGGTCCAGATAATATCAGTGCTGGAAAAGCTCTGGGTATCCTTTCCCTCCACCTGAGATAAACAAAGGAAAGAGGGGAAAATATTAAAGGGAATGGAATATAAATTAGAATTTGGAAGAAATATAATCTGTAGGAATGGCCACAGCTAAATAAGCATTCTCTTCCCTCTATTGTGTTGTGGGTGCAAAGTAAATAAGGTAAGAATGGGCTATAAAGAAAAACTAAAATTTCTACTAGTTTTGTTATGAATAAATGTGTACAGAAATATTTTTAATAGTAAGTGAAATTCTCCTATCCTTCTAACTCTGGTATTTTAAGTATTAGTTTCCCTTCTCTTTCCCTTGCAAGACCTCCATATTTATCATATATTTTACATAAAGGATTAAGGAAATTAACAATAGAAACCTAAGAATAAAGGAAACAAAAACAAATTGTTCCATAATTTTGCCTTTTCTTGCATCATATAGATTTGTGTCCATTATAGAATGTACAAAGTAAAAAACAGCAAAATACACATACAAGAGAAAACATGGATAAATCTTAGATGTGTTGAATAATAAAAGAGAGGTCAGCCAGACACACAAAAATGTTCATACAATATGCATGATTTTATTTACAGAAAATTTAAGAACAGGCAAAACTAATTGTTGATGACAGAAGTCACAATACAAGTTACCTTCTGGAGGAGGTTGTGTGGACAAGATAGGGCACAAAACAACCTTAGAGCATGCTGGAAGTGTTCTATATCTTGATCTAGGTGATGGCTAAAGGAATGCAAACATATGCAAATAATTCTTAAACTGCATCAGTAAGAGTAATGTACTTTATACAGTTTGCTATATGTTTATTATATCTCAATTTAAAAAGAGATAGAGATTGAGAAAACATATAAGCTCTGAGGCAAATGTGTTAATTTTGGAGAACCCTAGTGTGAACACTTACTGTTGTTCCCCAGAGCAGCTGAGCCTTAGAAATCAAAAGAGGCTTGTGTGACTGACAATTGGAAGAATCATTCTGCATATATTAAGACATCACAGAAAAAACAAATAGTGGTTTCAATTGTGAGCTCTAAATAAGGAGCCACAAGGGTGGAAGCTCCAAACTGTAGGCTTTGGCTTGCAATTTCTCTACTTCTCACATGGGCCACTCTATGTTGCAAGTCCCAACAAGAGTAGTAGCAAAGATTTATTTGTTCAACAATGCTGAGCAATTCTCCTAAGAAATTGAGTACAGTTAATACGAAAATACATGTAAAAAGTAATTACCAAGACAAATCAGAACACAAATAAGACATATATAAAGGAAATGAAGATAAAGTCAATAAAGACAGATAATTGCTATGATTACACTTTAAATTTGATTCAGTTTCTCAGCAACCAGTAAACAGAGGTAAAGCTAATCAGTGTTTTAATTCCCATTGTCAGAAAAGAAGACAAAAGTCAGTCTCCTAAGGGAAAGAAATTTGTCTGGAATTGAATTTATGTTATAATCCATCCTAAGTGATACCCACTTTGTCCAACAATATGGTAAAGTAGAGAGGTCATTAGATCGAAATAAAAAGACCTGGATTTTGATCTCAAGAACTCATCATTCTCCAGTTGGGTATTTCTAACCTTTCTGAACCTCCGTTTCCCTGTCTTTAAAATAATAATGATAACGATAATAATAATAGCTAACATAAATATCCTTGCTATGTGCTGGGTACTGAATTAATTCAATTCTCACTACAGCCTTAGTAATAGGGGCATTATCTGCATTTTACTGATGATGAAATTAGGGTTCAAAAAGGTTAAATGACTGGCCTGAAATCACAAATATAGTAAAACAATGACAATTATTCTTTTTTATTTTACCTCACAAAGTGGTTGTACAAATCACATGTGATGTTTGGTTAGTTTTTCTGAAAACACTCTACAATTTGAAAACTTAAATTTGACAAATAGGTGTCCTGGACCTACTTATAAGCACAACATTTTAATAGATAAATGAGGATCCACAAAAATGTATATAGCATTCTTCCTTGATTTAATAAAAGACTACCACTCTCTAAGGCCAATCAATGGCCCTGACAGACCTTCATATAAATATGTCTTCCTTTTACCCCATCATTTCCTATACTTTTCCAAACCTTTTGCTACTATTGTTTAGAGCTCCTTTATCTCTTTATTCTTCAATTCTCTCTCCCCAGCTTTATTTTTTCTATTTGGTATTAATTGAAAGAATGGGTACAATTGTAAAATAACAAATGTATAAGCAAGAAAATAAAGTTGATGGAATGTAAAAAAACACATTCATTCAGTGAACTTGTGATGACAGCAAACCACAATAATTATAATAACTTTAATTAGATTAAACCTCTTAATATGTAATGTAGATACCAGTAATTTAATCTGACTATGGAGAATAAGGAAAAAATAGAGACAATGATCACGCACAACACTTGGAAAAAATTTGTTTCTCTGGCCTAATTGTAGGGGATTTTCAAGTCAAAAGAATTAGCTAAGAAATGTTGGCCTGGAGCCATGGCCCACGGCTGTAATCCCAGAACTTTGGGAGGCTGAAGTGGGTGGATCATGAGGTCAGGAGATTGAGACCATCCTGGCTAACAAGGTGAAACACTGTCTCTACTAAAAAAATACAAAAAAATTAGCTGGGCGTGGTGGCGGGCGCCTGCAGTCCCAGCTACTCGAGAGGCTGAGGCAGGAGAATGGTGTGAACCCAGGAGAAGAAGCTTGCAGTGAACCGAGATTGCACCACTGCACTCCAGCCTGGATGACAGAGCAACTCTGTCTCAAAACAAAACAAAACAAAACAAAAAACAAAGAAATGTTATAGCATATTTATATGTTAATGGCAACAAATGTTTGGGAAGGGAGAAATTGTTGATACAGAGAAAATAGGGGTTGAGAGACAAAATCCTTGAGCAAGCAAGAGAAGATGGGATCGAGTATGTAAGTGAAGTTGATCTTTAATAAAGTATAGAGACAAGTCATCCATTAAAACAACAGAGAAAGCAAAATATAAAGGCGTAGTACATAATATTGGTTATCTCTAAAATTGTTATTTCCTCCTTTATCTTTTCTAAAATGATCCAAATTATGTTAAGATATGCCTCGGATTAATAGACCCACTTCAATGGACTGGACCTAACCAATCACATTTCCTTTTTGATTATGATTGGTTTAGGGGTGGGCATATGATTAAAATTGCTCAAAGATATACAGGCAAAAGTTTGTTCAAAAGTTTGGGAAGTTGTTTTGTTTTTTGATTAAAAGGAGATACATGCAAAGAGAAACTCCTACTATCTATGTTTTGATGTATTAGGACATGATGTTGGAACTGTGCCAACCATCTTACAGCCAAGAGAATCACAGAGAAGCCACCCAGAGCTGTAATATTTTTAAGCATGGAACTAATCAATACTGAAACCACACATCTCTGTTTTTCTTTAATGTGATATTTTAAAACCCATTTTAAAATGAATTTTCATAGTGTATTTTGCTGATTGTTGGAGAAAACATCCTAAATGTTTCAACGAATAATGTGTGCATATTAATGTAGGCTGAAAGATTCGATGATAAAAAGACAAGAGCATTCTATTCTGGTGGCATCTATGTTATCAGTGAAGCAAGAATAGATTTTACCGTCAGTGAAGAGAGCTTAAGGTGATTGAGAGAGAGAAAATATGAGAGTCATTTTGATGACAAAGCAAGTCAATTTACTAGGGAAATATAATAGGAATGCTTAGCATTACTGAGTGCCCACAAAAGATTAGTGACTATAAATTTAAGGGTAAAACAGTCAGTGTGGTTGTGCTTTTTCTCTACCCATGTTCAGATATTCAGGTGTATGCACAGAATAAGCAGAATTATGAGTTTAAGCAGGCTTGGCATTTTGCCAGGCACATTTTGAACACATTAGGGAAAGGCAAGGAGTTGAGGGCCTCTGCAAGACAGTGATTAAAGTGATTAATCACAGAGGCTAATATAGGTAAAGAGAAAATTAAGAAAAAAGATAAGGCAGATGACAGTGAAAAATAGGTTGGGTCAAAGCATTGGATGTTTCAATGTGGGCAAAAGAGTTGTTGGAGAGAAGAAGCTAATGTGAACTTGAAAGACAGCATGTAGTGGTCAGAGTAGGGTTCTTATATATGAGATTTTCTGAGAAGCTAAGTATTAAAGACATCAACAACAGAGACTGAAGTCACAAGAAATAATGTCAGGAATAAAGTTAGAAAGGGAATGAGCTGGATATTAAGATAGTTAAAAACCGAGGGGAGAACCCTGGAGATTAGATGACAGCAAAAAGGAGAACTAATAGCAAATCTAGTCTGCAAGCAGGTACTTCAAAGAACCCAAGATTTGAAGAGTAGAAAGAAAAAATGGGCTGAAAATGGTAATGAGAAATAAGAAAGACAATTATACTACCTCTAGGCTTATGGTATGGGATGTGGTAGATGAAACAGGCACCAGTTGAAAATGTCGTGGGAAAAAAATAGCCTAATTTTACACACTTCAGTTTGCTGAACTATAGAATATTGCTAATATTGACTTTTTAGGTAGTTTCAGTATAGAATGAAATAATACAGAAAGCCCCCAAAAGCTGCCAGTATTATAGAAGAAAAAACATAGTCACATTTCTGTAACTTATATTTTAAACTGCCTATCACAGTATTAACTACAGCGCTTTGGGCTATTGCATTGACTTTGCACTTTGTTCCATGTGCTCCTAAGTGCACATTAAAGAGCCAGTGATGAGAAAGTTTGAAGTGAAGTTGATAATTCAGTTGAAAGTGGTTTCAGGTTAGTAACTTAGCTAGGCATTTATCAAAATCATATGAAAATTACCACTAAGAAAATAACCGAAGGCTTTAACTCATGCCTAAAACTGAATTCCTATAAATAAAGATCCAAAAAGTTATGAACTCACAGTAAACAAAAAGTCACAAAATGCACAAGGAAACAAAGTTTCATGGACAAATGAAATACAAGACAATAATCCCAGCGTCTCAAGACTATGGATAATGAAATTATCAAACACAGAATTAAAATAAATATTATAACACATTTAAAGAAATGTAATAAAAGCTTGAAGATATGAATACAAAACACTAAACTTTGAGGATAATCAACCTGATACTGTAAAATAACTCAGGAAAGAGGATGGGAAAAGGTCTGGCATACACAGCAAACTTCAAAGATATTGAGCTATATTTTAAACTAATGATGGGAGTTTTCATCACTGGTCTTTATATTTTTCATATTTTTATAAATATTTTATACATATACAATATCTAATAAAACAGTTAAATAATTGTGTGGCCATTCTAAGAAATATCATATGGCCATTCAAAAGGATGAGGCAAAGGTAGTTATCTAATAGAAAATGTAGCTTAGACATATTTTTCAGTGAGAAAAGGAAGTCAAAGGATAATATATATAGGCTGATTGCATTTCTATAAAAAATACATAAAAACCTTATTCAAGTTTATATTTATACATTATTGCATATGTACATGTATATATATATATGTCTATCTATCTAATATAAAAGGTTAGAAAAATATCTGGGAGGATATACATGAGTATGTCATAAGTGATAACTTATGAGAGAAGAGGGATGGGGTTGCTAAAAGAGGAAATTAACTTTTTATTTTGTGCTGTTACTACACGGATTGGGCATGAATAATGATGATGGTAAGTACCTTTGTAACCAACACGCAGATAAAGAACATTGCCAGCTACCTCCGAAACCCTATTCCTTCCCAATCCCCTTCACTTTTCCGCCTTCCCCATAAAGTAATTATGCTCTTAACTTTTATGGTAATCATTTCTATGTTTCATTATAATTTTTTTTCACCAAAGTGTACATCTTGAAACACTGTAGCTCTGTGGCATTGACTAACTTTTAAAAATTCAGCATGTTGTTAAGTTCCTTTCATCTACAGGTTCCCTTCTATTCCTTTCCCTCACTATTTACCTGTTGAAGAATCTGAATCATTTGGCCTACAGCATTAAAGAGTCTAAAGTTTACTGATTTTATACTCATGGTAAAGCTTTGTATGTTCCTCTGCCTATTTTTTTTTTTTTTTTTACAAATTGACAGGTAAATCCAGGCTCTTTATCAGACTCATGTTCAACCCCTTTGACATCATGATAATGATATTGATTTCTTTCCTAGAGAGCCACATAATTTGTGGTTGCCTTTCTTTCTGTGACATTGGCAGCTGTTGATATTCAATGCTTAAATTGATTAATTCAATGGGGATTGCAAATTAGTGATATTTCATTTATATAATTTCCCGCCTATATTTTAGTTAGAATATTATTATAAAGAGACACGCTTCTCCTCTGTTATTTATTCACCCAGTAGTATAAGATAAATGCTTTTTATTTCCCCTTATTGATCTGTTGTCAATATAGTATAGTAATGGATTTAAGTCAATTGCAATTATCCTTATTAAAGTACAAATTATTCTATCTTTGGCTAGTGGGAGCTTCTTCAAATTGTCTCCTTCTGACATAAATCTACTAATTTTTAACATTACTCTAGTAATCTTTGATAGCTTTATTACCAATTGGTATAACAAGATGTTTTAGACTTAGCTTGGACATTTGCTGCCGCAGATACATCATGAGACATTTTTCAAGCAATCCTAGTATTTTCATGAGAAATAGTATTTTAAGACTACCTGGATGTCAGATGCTAGGGATATACATTGTTTCTGAGGTGGTCATTGTTTCTAGGCTCTTTGGTAGGAAAGCTAGGAATATATACACATACATACACTATATATACACATACACACACTATATTATATATGTTTATATATGTATAAATCAGGATACTCTTAATTCCATATTTATACTTCCATTTCAAATTTAGTACTAGAGGCTTTTCAAATTAATCACATGTATTACACTTGTATCTGCTTTCTTCTTCATAAAGAATCAGAATCCTACTTTCAAAGGACAATGAATTACAGAATTAGTAAATCTCATAAGTACTAATTTTTCACACATTACATATACCATAGTTTTAGACTAACAATATTAATATCACCACATCCACTGAGAACTCTCAAAACTATTTTTACATATATTATTCCTATAATCCCCACCTCGCTTTTTGCTATAGTTGTACTACATCTACAGGGTCTGAGCATATTATATTCTCCTCCTTGTAACACTCATGTAGGATTCATTCTACAAGTAACTATATAGTTAACGTTCATCACTAGTTATGTCAATGTCTCTCTAGTCATTTTCATTGCCTAATCATTCCCTTTAGTAGATTCTTCAGAAAAGGAAACAATTTACTGAGTTTTTACATGTCACAAAAAGTTTGTCTGTGACCTTTATATTTGAAAATCAACTTTGCTAGATACAAAATTAGCGGCTCACATTTTAATTTCTTTAGTATTTTATTACTCAATTTCGTTTTGGAATAAATTATTGGTGTTAAAATTTTTGATGAAAATATAATTCTTTTCATTATATGTTACTTATTGTATTTTAGTATTTTTCTATACCCTTGCTTTGATTTTTTTGTCTTTAGAGATTCATATTATCTAAATGTTGAGCTTTCTTTGACTACCAATTGTTCTCATTTCCTCCTCAAACCTTTTCATTTCTTTTTAAATTTTTCTCATTTTAATATTCTGTTTCATAATTTACATTATATTCTATCTAACAATTCATATATATCAATCTATGTATACCGTAATTACATATATATTTCATAATTTATGCTCATTTACTCTTGTGTTTTATTTAGACTACTTTAATTTCTAAGTAATATTTTCTATGTAATAAACTTTTAGGTTCTGCCACTTATGTTCTAAACTTTTCTAATTCTTATTAACAGTGTTTCCTTTATTTTACAACCTTCTTGTCTTCTCACTAATTTAGAAAGAAAATGTAAAATTGCATATTTTATATAAGCCTGTCTTTCTGGTGTGCTTTCATTTTATGTAGACATGATTCTGCTCTTTATTTTCTTTTATTATAATAAAATGTATAGGATTTTACATTACACTTAAGTATCACTCATTTTTACATGAAATCAGTTACAATTTGTTTGTGTAGTTATTTCCATGTTATTTACTCTGAACTTCTTCAAAGAAAAAAAATAGTTAAACAGGTAAAAAATAAATGCACTCTTCCTTTTCACTTTTAATTAGTCACGAGTTTTTTTAATGAAAATGAAGGAAAGAGAACAGGAAAGCCATCAGATATAATGTTTTCACTAATAACTTTTGTCACCTTTCACTCATTCCCCTTTGTTAGAATTTTACTGGCCAGGTGCTGTGGCTCATGCCTATAATCCCGACACTTTGGAATGCTGATGTGGGAGGATAGCTTGAGCCTAGGAGACTGAGACCAATCTGGGCAGCCTAGTGAGACTCCATCTCTACCAAAAAATTAAAACATAAAAAGAAAATTAGCTGATGATGGCACATGCCTGTGGTCCAGCTACTGGAAAGGCTGAGGTAGGAAGATCACTCGAGCCAGGAAGGTTGAAACTACAGTGGGCCATGACCAGACCACTCCACTCAAGCCTCGGCCACAGGGCAAGACTGTATCTCAAAAAGAAACAACAACAACAACAAAAACCTTACTTATATTTGTCTTGATTTTCTTTATTTTAACCCTAATTTCTATTTCATTGGCATGTCTCAATCCCAACATTCCTTTTCTTCTGTTAATGTCATTTCATTGGCTTAAGAATGTCTAAAGAGGCTCTTGACAAATGCAGATGTGGTCACTCCAGCAGCAGGTTAAATGTTCGAGGGATGAAAAGGTAGGGATTAATTCTATTTGTTCATTTTGGCTGCCATAATGAATACCGCAGACTGGATGGCTTAAACAACAGAAATTTATTTCTCACAGTTATAAAGGCTGGAAGTCTAAGACTAAGGTGCTGGCAAGATAGGTTTCATTCTGAAGCCTTTTCTCTTGGCTTGCAGGTGGCCCCCATTGTGCAGTGTGCTCATATGACCTCTTCGTGCTCATGGAGAGAGAGATCAATCTCTCTCTGTTCCTTTCCTTTCTTTTTTCTTTTTCTTTTTTTTTTTTTTTTTGAGACAGAGTCTCGATCTGTCGCCCAGGCTGGAGTGCAGTGGCGCTATCTCCGCTCACTGCAAGCTCCGCCTCCAGGGTTCACGCCGTTCTCCTGCCTCAGCCTCCCGAGTAGCTGGGACTACAGGCGCCCGCCACAGCGCCCGGCTAACTTTTTGTATTTTTAGTAGAGACGGGGTTTCACCGTGTTAGCCAGGATGGTCTCGATCTCCTGACCTCGTGATCCGCCCGCCTTGGCCTCCCAAAGTGCTGGGATTACAGGCATAAGACACCGCGCCAGACCTGTTCCTTTTCTTATGAGGCCACCAATTCTATTGGATTATGAACAGACCCTTATTGACCTCATTTAAGCTTAATTACTTCCTAAAAACTCTATCTTCAAATGTAATTATATTGGGGGCTAGGGCTTCAACATATAAATTTTGGGGGACACAATTCCGTCTGTAGCATTAATATACTGAAATAAACTATTTGAAATAAAACAATGAAAATATCCATCTGAATTTCGGACATGGGGTAAGACGAGCTTGAGGCTCATAGACTGTGGTCCTGAGGGGAACACTGAGCTTACCAGTGGCACCCTGAAATTACAGGCATTAAAATAGAGGAATCCAGGATGGCATCAAAATAAGAATCTTCAGTTGAATGTAATGAATATTAAATCTAATTTGTGTTCTTGTTAAGGGCACTGAGTTGTGAAGATCACACAGCCAGAAAGTAGCAGAATCAAGATTTCCTCTAAAAATATGTGAGGCCAAGTGCTATTTCTAATGCATCCTCTCTTCCTCTGTTGCCACTAAAAACTTCACAGTTTTTCTGAGGGCAGATGCTAAGGCATGAGCCTGAGCTTCTATTTTGACAGGATTCCATTCAGTAGTTTTAGAGGTATTTTGAGCTTTTGGTTTCTGTAATGCTGTGACTAAATGAAAGAGGCTTGCCTTGGAATACAAATTTGTGGAAATTGATTGAACAGAAATGAAAGAATGTTGAAGCTATTTCTCCTCTGCAGGATGAATACCTTAAGTTTCAAAAATAATTCAGGATGTGTTATTCTCAGGGATATTTCATGAAATTGGCATCCATATCCACTGATGTCTTAACAATTGTCAACCTGAAATGTGGTTGTAAGGATTAGATGGACTCATAAACACAGCAGAGTGAGCAGAGCCTGGAGATTATATAGAACTCTTTTTCTCTACTATAAAGTTTGCAAGAAAATGATAACAGAGAAAATGGAAAAGAATGAAATCATTCATCTCCTATGACTAATAGAGTGACTAATAGTAGAACGAACCAAACCAAATATCCTAAAATGAGAGATCAATGTGATTTTCATTATAATATGTATTTTAGTTAATAAAGAGAAAGCTTATTAGAAACACTCAGTTTTCTTTTAATTGTATTTTAGCTTCTGATTACATCTGATTTCCTGAATAGAATCCATGGCAATAATACAATTATTCCATTTATAGGTGCTAACATTTTGAGAAAGTCTTAAAGAAAGATATTTTAATAACTATTCATGATTTCTAAGAAAACTTAAGGGCATGTGACATTTTACCTATCATGAAAATTGTTACCAAAATATTCTCCATGTAGTAAATGACATGCCACAAAAGTCCTCAGATACACGACTATAATGGCTGACTAATGGCCAATAAACTGGACAGGCATGAACATTCTGCTCAGCCAGGATGATAAAATGACTAATTTTCTTGAGAATATTAATGAGAAACTTAGAGAGTGGACAGTACAAATTAGAAGCAGAAAGACACAGGAGACACAAAATAATAAAATCACAGTGAAAGAATACACGAAGCAATACATACCATACATAAGTGGAAACAATAAATACAAAAAAGCCATACACAAGCATACCTTTGTTTATTATGCTTTTCAGATATTGTGTGTTTCATAAATTGACAGTTTGTGGCAACCCTGAGTCCAACAAGCCTATTGGCACCAATTTTCCAACAATGGGTGCTCAGTTCATGTCTCTGTGTCACATTTAGTTTATTCTCACAATATTTGAAACTTTTCATTATTATTATATCTGTGATGGTGATCTGTGATTAGTAATCTTTGATGTTACTATTGTAACTCTTTTGGGGTGCCATGAATTGTGGCCATACAAGAGAAAAACTTAATTGATAAATGTGTGTGTGTTCTGACTTCTCCACCTACCAGCTGTTCATTCATCTCACTCTTCTCAGGCCTCCCTATTCTCTGAGTAAAACAATATTGAAAGTAGTCCAATTAATATCTCTACAATGGCCTCTTAGTGTTCGAGTGAAAGGAAGTGTCACACATCTCTCACTTTAAATCAAAAATATAGAAATGATTAAGCATAGAAAAAAAAAAAGGCATGTCAAAAGCAAGATAGGCCAAAAACTAGGCATCTTGAGCCAAACAGCCAAGATGTGAATGTAAAGGAAAAATTTTTGAAGAAAATTTAAAAATCTACTCCAAAGAACACAGGAATCATAAGAAAGCAAAACAGCCTTTTTGCTAATATCAAGAAAGTTTGAATGATCTGGACAGAAGATCAAACAAGCCACAACATTCCTTTAAGCCAAAGCTTAATCCAGAACACAGCCCTAACTCTCTTTAATTCTATGAAAGCTGAGAGAGATTAGAAGGCTGCCAAAGAGAAGTTGGAAGGTAGCAGAGATTGGTTCATGAGATTTAAGGAAAGAAGCCATCTCCATAACATAAAAGTACAAGGTGAAGTAGCAAGTGCTGATGGAGAAGCTGTAGCAAGTTATCTGGAATATATAGCTAAAATAATTTGTAAAGGTGGATATACTAAGCAACAGATTTTCAATGTGGAAGTAATAGCTTTGTGACTTTGAGGGATTCAAGACTTCAGTGGAGGAAGTAACTGCAGATGTAATGGAAATAGCAAGTAGAATTAGGAGTAGACTTTGAAGATCTGACTGGATTGAGGCAATGTCACAATAAAGCTTCAACGAATGAGTTGCTTCTTTTGGATAAGCAAAGAAAGCGGTTTCTTGAGTTAGGTTCTACTGGTGATGATGCTTGTGAACGTCGTTGAAATGACAACAAATGACGTATAATATTACATAAACTTAATTGATAATGTAGCTGCAGGTTTTGAGAAGATTGATACCAAGTTTGAAAGAAATTCTACTGTGAGCAAAATGCTATCAAACAGCATCTCCTGTTACAGAGAAATCTTTCATGAAATAAAGCATCAATCCATATGGCAAACTTCATTATTGTCTTATTTTAAGAAGTTTTCACAGCCACTCCAAGCTTCATAGCCACCACCCTGATCAGTAAGCAGCCATCAATATCGAGGCAAGATCCTCTGCCAGCAATGTGATTACAACTAACTGAAGGCTCAGATGATCATTAGGATTTTTTATTATTTTTTCTTTAAGGTATGTGAATTTATAGACATAATAATACTGCACACATAAAAAAGTACAGTGTAGGGTAAACATAATTTTCATATGTACTAAGAAAGCCCCCCTAATTTATGTGACTTGGTTTATTGCAATATTTGCTTTATTGAAGTGTGCAGTGGTCTGGAAACAAACCTGCAATTTCTCTGAGATATGCATGTGTGTGTGGTGGTGGGGGGTGGAGAGAGAGAGAGAGAGAGAGAGAGAGAGAGAGAGAGAGCAAACTAAATGGAATAAGCATAAGAGAAATCAATTGATAGCAACATAGAATAGCTGATGACCATGCCAGTCATTCTAGGCAAGATAATGCTACTGTAACAAATGGCACAAATGTTCAATGCCTGACAAAAACAAATGCTTATTTCTCCCTCAAATATATACCAATATGTCTCAGTTGTAGCTTTGTTCCATTTCCTCATTTCAGGACTCTGGCTGAATGACCGGGCCCTATGGTACATATCATTCCCATGGCTAAGGAAAAAGACTGGTAGCACTTAGAGGCTGTGTTTGGAAATGCCATTTGTCACTTGTTTTCTCACATTTAATAGGCCAAACTAAGTCATAGAATCATATCTGATACGGTGATATAGGCCAAGACAATGTAATTATTTAATAGGGATGGATAGCAAATAACTTCTGACAATAATATAACTGACTATAGTTACTATAATGGCAGAGCATTTGAATAGGAAGCAATGGACACCTACTTGATAATTCTTGTGCTCTGGATGATTTTCCAGCCTCTGAGACCTGACATGGTGATTGTTGAGACTCCTGGGTATTTGTCCGATTCCTTTGCATTACTCCCAGTTTTATTAGCATATACAAACACTATCAGGGTATGCATGTCGATAAATGAATACAATTTCTAGTAACTATAGAAGCCATTCTGGTTGAGGAGGCTGGGGAAGGTACACAGGGTCTGAAAGCACTTGAAGAAGTTCCAAGAATCCCTGATCTATGCAGCTGTCCTTTTCATTTTTCCAGGTCAATGAAGCAAGATGAATGTTTTACATTTAGCAAGAACACAAAAATAGAACAAACTAAACACTAACCATAGAAAAAAACCAAATACTAAATTTTAATGGAAAATATCCAAAAGACATGGTCTTTATTTATATCTGTGTTTCTTCTTATGGGGGTCACAATGCCCACTTTTTCTTCATATGGACACCTGTTAAGTCACCCAGTGAGGCAGCCAGTGAGCTTGCATTTCATCTCCTGTAAACTTTTAATCCTTAGAACCTATTAGAACTAGTAAACAAATACACAGTTTATATCTAGATGATGTGAAAATAATATGTCAGTATTTCTCGGGTACACATGCTTATACACAAACATTTGTAACATCACCTTTAAAATATCAGCAATAATAGTGCTTAATGTTATGCAGATAGAAATGTGGGGATAACAGTTTAACTACTTCTAAGTAAAAGGTAGTAAAACCTAAATAACGATTAATTAACCATAACATGGAAATACACCAGAAGTATGACAACTTTTTTAAGAGTTCAATTTGAAAATTGATGCATCTGTTATATAACAACTTAGATAAAATAATTTCTCCGTATACAACACTAGAGTGAGCTTTTCTCATTAAAACTGGTTCTTCACGGGAGTTTTTCTTTGAATTATTCCCTGTTTATTAGGAAACAGGAGGTAATTGGTTGTATCTTAAACCAGGACATTTTTATGCTGTACCTGTTAAAATTGCCAGTTTGCATATAAATATTTTGTAATTAAATTTGCAATTATTGTGTCAGTATAAGTAAACACTGCATTTATCTTAGTAGATGAATTCACATAAAACATAAAGGATTGGACAGTGATGCAAACATGAACATATATAGTAATAAACTCAGAAAGTATTCAATTCACTTATACATTTCCTTTTACCTCTAATTGCTCTACTCAAACTATATTATACATATTATCATACAATAGTAAAAATTGTTCAAATATTTAATTGGAAACTAAATAATTTGTTTAAGTAAATGCTAAACTGTTCCCTCATCAAATATTTTCTATTTATCCAGTGAAGAGGGAAAGGGTAGTAGGAGAATAAGCACAGCAAATCCTGAATTGTAAGATCAAGATAAGCTACCAGCTAGCGCAAAAGGAGTTATGTGTTGACTTCAATCAAATAGGGACAATGTAGAGCAGGGCTTCTAAAATTTCAGCATGCACACAAATATTCTGGGGATATTTTTAAAATGCAGATTCTGCTTCAGTAGGTCTGAAATAACTTGAGATTCTTAATTTCTAACAAGCTTCCAAGTAATGCTGATGCTGTGGCCCATGAAAAGCCAGGTGCTAGATGATGGTAGGGCTTATGTCAGAGTTACTCCAGAAAAACACAGTAAAATATAGAAGGCATTCCACCTCACCTTTGGACAAAAAAAATCATTGTATTTCCAGTCTGCTTATGGGTATACTTCAGTGGGCATAGGCCAGCAATAGCATGGAGTGTGAGTCTCAGCAAGGTCAAACAGCAGGCTTCTGCACTGCCTGTCTTTATCATAATTTTATCTTTACTTCAAAGCTTCTTGTCTAAAGATGTAACTGAATCCCACAGGAGTACCAGCCTCTCATCACAAGGGGAGGTTTCTAATTCTTTTATAACACACTTCCCGTTACCAAAAGAAATGTAATTGATGGGTTCTTCAGGGAAACACATTAAGCCTTTGATCTCTACCCATGCAGACTAGAGGTGACATAGGAAGCAGAGTGATAGGAAAAGTCCTCGAGGGATCCCTTGAGATTAAACATGTTGAGCCAATGTGATTAATTTTTAGGATGGTTGAGCTTCTGTGACCCATATAAAGTGAATGTTATTTTGTCAGTGTGGAGAATAGTTCAAAAAGGGCCTTTGCTCACATTATAATGTAACACCTTAAAGAAGACTAAGAGCATCACCAAGTCATTCTTTCTAACCATTTATGGAAATATAGCATACCTCTTTCCAATAGTTATTTATAGCCCAATTGCAATGCTTCTGGACATTCGTTCTTTCAGATTGAAACTGAGTACTAGATGCTTTTACTGAATTTCAAAAAGCCTCTGTCCATGACACATCTAACAGACTTGCCATTAGGCTCTCTGTTATTTACTTGTCTTCTACATCTGCTGACGAAGTAGGCATTAATTGTGGCCTGAGTGCTAGCTTTCATGTTAATACTCATTAAATGCATTATTAACTCTTCCTTTGATAATACAGATCATATAAGATTAAAGCTTTAAACATTCCTTTCCATTTATCAAAAAACGTGACTAAAGTGAAATTAATGATAGAAATAAACTCTGTAACTTATTGCATCAAACACGTGGGAGAAGATAAATTTTCTCATTTTCTCCCATTAATGATTTACATTTATCCGTGGAAATTATAAAATATGGTTTTTGTCCATATTGGAAAAGCTGAGTTAACTCTAAACTGGCAGGAGAAGACCTGCCATTATATATTTTTTAAAATGTATGGCACCAAAGAAAGTACTGTGAAACAACATGTCTACTTTTGCCTTCCTGAGATGCTACACAAACTTCTATGGATATGTACTTTACTACATTAGAAACAGAGAATATTTTGACCAAATAATATATTTTATGGCAATATTGTCTAATTTTTTTGGATACATGTATTGAATTTCATTCTATACTGCCAAGAATGCTTTCTTTAAATCTCAATGTACTAAATTTGTGATATAATTTTTGTTATACTTTACTGTAATATTTATTTTTATAAAAGATGATTTACCATGGCAATTGATAAAATAGAGCTTCAAATTAGTTATTCCAACATGACATGATCATTTTCACCAAGTCATCTGATTGCTTTTGGAATTTAAACATTTGAGTTATGACAGATATAATACATTTTATTAAATAATGCATAAAGCAGGATCCCAGCACAGGTCACCTTTCGCATGTTTTGTGTGTGGCACACATTGCATTAGGGAGAAAATGCTCCCCACTCTTGTGTTTTCTCTCTTCTTGCGATAATTGACACCACATTCTCCCAGTCTGTGCCATCCCAGAAACCTGACCATGGGAAATGAGTCAAGTAGACAATACTGATGCTCTTGCATTATAATGGGTCTTTTCCTGTATTAAATACTTCATCTATATAAAACTAATCATCTTCACACAAAGGCCACCATTGCTAAAGTAGCAAGTATGTGGAAAAGAAGTAGAAGTGAACGCTTTAACTCTCTGACCTGGACTAAGAACACTCTACAGGGTGCAGGTGAGGGCTTTCTTCTCGACTTGCATTCTGGCACAATTTGATCTGCAGGTGAAAACACGCAAGAACAGAGGAAAGAGCATGTACTAATTCTAAGAGAACACTCCAAGATACATACCATATTATGGGTATAAAATATGCCACAGATAGCTTAAGTGAATAATTGTGAATTGACTGCGTGTGTTCGTAGCTCTCTCTTCTTTGATATAGTAGGAGAACGTATGAAGCTTATCAAATTGAGGGTAATCTTTTGCCATTGAAAACACAAACAAGTCAACAGAACTGATGGTAAAAATGTGAAATAATCTTTTTCAACAGTGGATTTCCATGAATATCTGTCTTCAAGGAATCAATTGTAACCTAAAGTTGACTAGAATCCAAGAGTATATTAAGCATATTTTATGTAGAGGTCATAAAGTAAACTTCCAAAGTTTGATTTTTATTTTTAAACAGGATACATTTTTCCCTCCAAAAGCTAAAGAAAAGGAACAAAAAAAAAAAGTACCTAGCTGGGATTTGATTTTCTAAATAAATCACTTGATTTGGGCCCAGGAGGTCATCAGGTAGTTTCATGTCACTGGCAGGTGTGTGTCAGTTCCAAGGTCCGGTAATTCAGCTCGGTTTTCTCCACTGACAATGTCCCTTTTAGCTTTGATGGAAGCAAACAGGGAGCACATTTTCCACTACCTTAGTCAAGGAATGTCTCTACAAAATCACGTACGGTACAATTATTTTCCAAAAATTGACTCTATTTTCAGCAGATTTCCAATCAAACTAAATGCTTTAAATAATGTGAAAGCATTATTTTGTCTATAAAATTAAAATATTATAAATGAATTGTCAATCACTAGCAAGATATTTCTAGTGCAATTATTTGAAAGAGAAATGAGTACAAACTAACATGGTGAGGAAAAGTTCACAAATCTGGGGCACTCACAACCACCCTCCCCGGCTCAGCTGAAAGCCAAACCTGTGAGGTCTGTTTAGCCTTTTGTTTCTTTCTTTTTAATTTAAGTGTCACCTGTGTTTTGAAACTATGGCAAAGAAAAAAATGGAACTAACTCTACTGGAGCATTATTTTGTCTATAAAATATTTCTTTACCAGATATGAATGACAGTTCTTCTAACCACATTTATCATTGCTTAAATTTGTTTTATTTCTGCTTCAAAAAATTTCTGAAGTATCACATTAAGAAAAAGTTATCCAGGCTGGGCACGGTGGCTCACACCTGTAATCCCAGCACTTTGGGAGGCCAAGGCGGGTGGATCACGATGTCAGGAGTTCGAGACTAGCCTAGCCAAGATGGTGAAACCACGTCTGTACTAAAAATACAAAAATTAGCTGGGCGCAGTGGTGGGCGCCTGTAATCCCAGCTACTCAGGATGCTGAGGCAGGAGAATCGATTGAACCTGGGAGGCAGAGGTTGCAGTGAATTGAGATCACACCACTGCATTCTCGCCTGGGTGACAGAGCAAGACTCCATCTCAAAAAAAAAAAAAAGTTATTCTAATCGACCAAACACAGTGTATTCTTGGAAAATAAGCCAACACTCATTGGTTTTAAAATTTTTAACCACAATTGTGTTTAGCTGCAGGTTGCTGTATGAAATTTTCTTTTATGGTGCTGTACATTTTTCTGAATAACTAATAATAAATTAACTCTAAAAGATAAATGACTTAGGAGAGAGAGACATTTTAAGGGAAACACCAGTAAAATTTCCTAAATTAAAAGAAAAGTAGAACACTAAAATATTACCTTACATAATGATTTAATGTTTATAATTTTTAAATCAAAATTTTTCTGTTTTTTAAATTTTAGGTGAAGTTTAATTTAAAAGTTTATTAACCTAGATCTCAGAATTAAGTTCTTTGTGATGAATAGTTTTGAATTTCAAGATTAAAACTGCCCATGCTTTTTTTCTTGGCTTCCAGACTAAAATGTAACTAAACTCTTTGATATTTAAAGTTAAAACAGATACTTTATAGCAAAAGGAACAATCCTTCTACCGTCTGAAAATTCAAAGTAGTCCGCCCTAAGAGGTGTTACAACATACTGTATATAGCATTAACAAGACCAACCTCCTTATAAGAGAAAATATACATACACTGTGGGAGATTGCATCATTGTGACCACCAGCTTTCTAGAGTATTTATTCATTTGTTTAACATGTGTTTCTATTTTGCTTGCATTATTATAGGTATTATAGAGAAAAATGAAATATTGTGTGAATAAAGTATAAGAAAATGCTATTTCCCTTTCATTGTACCCTTCCAGGGTGGATTACTAGTTCTTAAATCTGAAGATTTAAATTTTCCTTTGATACATAACATGTAATATGGGAAGGGCATTTTCTAGTTTTTTTTTTTTTTTAAAGCAAAATAACAACACTGTTGTCTAACTTTAGAAGAGTGTTTTCTAACTGAAAATATTAGGTTTCAGTTCTATAACTTTGATTTCAGAAGTGAGAGAACAGAGACAAGGAGCAATATGAAATAATATAGTTTGCCCATGTCATTTGAGGAGCTGTGGGTTGGGAAACTCTACTGCACCATTAAAGGATTAAGAAGCTAAGTTTTAGAGTACCTAATATTGTGCTCAGATTTTAAAAGATGTCCTGGGTTTGGATTGTAAAGAGAAAGTGCAAGAACATTTTTATCTCAAAGAACAATATAAAAAATGCATAGCTTAACACAAAATGTAGAAAAACCTGTATTTTTTTTAAAGCCTTTAAGACCTATGAAATGTTACCTCAGGGCCGGGTGCGGTGGCTCACGCCTGTAATCCCAGCGCTTTGGGAGCCCGAGACAGGTGGATCACAAGGTCAAGAAATCAAGACCATCCTGGCCAACATGGTGAAACCCCGTCTCTACTAAAAATACAAAATAATTAGCTGGGCATGGTGGCATGTGCCTATAGTCTCAGCTACCCTGGAGGCTGAGGCAGGACAATCACTTGAACCCAGGAGGCAGAGATTGCAGTGAGCTGAGATCGCACCACTGCACTCCAGCCTGGGCAACAGAGTGAGACTCCATCTCAAAAAAAAAAAAAAAAAAAGAAAGAAAGAAAAGAAATGTTACCTCAGAACGCCAAAGTTGAATTAAATAAATGGAGAGACCTAGTATGTTTCTGTTAGGAAGCATGCATTTTGTAAATACCCCAATTCTTCCCAAATTTGTAATACGACTTTTTTGCAGAACAATTTGACAATACAAATCAAATGCCTTAAGAATATTCCTATTCTCTTCTAGGAATTTCTCTCAATGACAGAGGGTAAAATACAAATGAGGATTTCTATGATATAGGAAAATCACCTTCATGACCAATAGTAGCAAACAGATTATACCAATTAGAGTATACCCATACAAGTATTTATTATGTAGCTATTAAAAATCATGCCTGGAAAAATGTGAAAATGTGTAAAATTTTCAGCATGAATTTTAAGTGATAAAAGCAGGTTATCATACAATATAAAATATAATCCCAAATTAAATAATTAAATCAAGAGGATTGGCCATTAGTTTCTTTAGGGAGTGGTTCCAGGACCCCTTGTGAATACCAAAATCTATAAATGCTCAAGTTCCTTATGTAAAATCATGTAGTATTTGCATATAACCCATGCACATCCTCCTGTATACTTTAAATAGCCTCTAGATTATTTATAATACATAAAACAATGTAAATCCTATATAAATAGTTGTTATATTGTTTGGAGAATGACAAGAAAAAAAAGTCTGTACATTTTCAGTATAAATGCAACCATGGAACTATCTTTTTTAAAAATATTTTCAATCCTCAGTTGGTTGAATACATGGATGTAGAACCCACCAAATACAGAGGACTGATGGTAATTACATACATATAGAAAAATACTGAAAAGATAAAGGCCAAAAGTTTATGGTGGTTACCAACATGTAGTAGGATTACAAACAATATTTATTTTTTTTCCATGTTTTAACTTTTATTTTAGGTTTAGGGGTACATGTGTACGTTTGTTATATAGGTAAATTCTTGTCACTGGGGTTAGTTGTACAGATTATTTCATCACCCAGGTACTAAGCTTAATACTCAATAGCTATTTTTTCTAATCCTCCCCCTCCTCCACCTTCCACCCTCAAGTATGCTCCAGTATCACTTTATGTCCATGTGTTCTCATCATTTGGCTCCCACTTATAAATGAGAACATGTGATATTTGGTTTTCTATTCCTGCATTAGTTTGCTAAGAATGATGGCCTTCAACTCCATCCATGTTCCTGCAGAAGATATAATCTTGTTCTTTTTTATGGCTGCATAGTATTCCATGGTGTAGACATACCATATTTTCTTTATCCACTCTACCACTGATGGGCATTTAGGTTGATTCCATATTTTGCTATCGTAAATAGTGCTGGAATGAACATACACATGTATGCGTCTTTATGGTAGAAAAATTGATATTCCTTTGTGTATATACTCAGCAATAGGATTGCTGGATGGAATAGTTCTCTTTTTAACTCTTTGAGGGATTGCCACATTGCTTTCCACAATGGTTGAGGAAATTTACACTCCAATCAACATGTATAAGCATTCCCTTTTCTCCACAACCTCACCAGCATCTGTTATTTTTTGACTTTTTAATATTAGGTTGGTGCAAAACTAACGGCAAAAACCAGTTACTTTTGCACCAACTTAATAATAACCATTATGACTGGTGTGAGATGGTATCACATTATGGTTTCAATTTGCACTTCTCTAATGATCAGGGATGTTGAGCTTTTGTTTCATATTATTGTTGGCCACAGGTATGTCTTCTTTCGAGAAGAGGCTGTTCATGGTTTTTGTCCACACTTTAATGGGGTTGTTTGCTTTTTTTCTTGCAAATTTGTTTAAGTTTCTTATAAATGCTGGTTATTAGATCATTGTCAGATGGATAGTTTGCAAATATTTTCTCCATTTTGTAATATGCCTATTTAATCTGTTGATAAGTTATTTTGCCATGCAGAAAACAATTAGGTTTAATTAGATCCCCAATTTTTGCTTTTGTTGCCATGCTTTTAGTATCTTCATCATGAAATCTTTCCATTTGTTTGTGTCATCTCTTATTTCTTTGAGCAGTGTTTTGTAATTCTGATTTTAGAGATATTTCACCTCCATAGTTAGCTGTATTCCTAAGTATTTTATTTCTTTTTGTGTCAATTGTGAATGGTATTGCATTCCTTATTTGGCACTCATATTTATTTTTGTGGGTGTATAGGAATGCCAGTGATTTTTGCATGTTGATTTTGTATCCTGAAACTTTGCTGAAGTGTTTATCATTTTAAGGAGCTTTTGGGCAGAGACTATTGCATTTTCTAGTTAGACAATCATGTCATCTGCAAACAGGGATAGTTTGGCATCCTCTCTTCCTATTTAGATTCCTTTTATTTCTTCCTCTTGCCTGATTGCTCTGGTCAGGGCTTCCAATATTATGTTGAATAGGAGTGGTGAGAGATGGCATCCATGTCTTGTGCCAGTTTTCAAAGGAAATACTTCCAGCCTTTGTCCATTCAGTATGATGTTGGCTTTGGGTTTGTCATAAATGGCTCTTATTATTTTGAGGTATGTTCCTCCAATACCTAGTTTATTGACAGTTTTTTAACATAAAGCCTATATTATTTTTAACATAATAAAGGCTTTTTATTGAAAGCCTTTTCTGCTTCTATTGAGATGATCATGTAATATTTATCTTTAGTTCTGTTTATGTGATAAATCACATTATTGATTTGTGTATGTTGAACCAACCTTGCATCCCAGGGATAAAGTCTAATTGATTGTGGTGGATTAGCATTTTGTTGTGCTGCTGGATTCAGTTTGCAAGTATTTTCTTGAGTGTTTTTGCACAGATGTTCATCAAGTATACTGGCCTGAAGTTTTCTTTTTTGTTTTGTCTCTGCCAGGGTTTGGTATCACGGTGATGCTGGCCTCACAGAATGAGTTGGGAAGCAGTCCCTCCTCATCAATTTTTTGAAATAGTTTTAGTAGGAATATTACCAGCTCTTCTTTGTACATCTGGTAGAAGTTGGCTGTGAATCTGCCTAGTCCTGGGCCTTTTGTTGCTTGGCAGACTATTTATTATTGAGTCAATTTTGGAGCTCATTATTGGTCTGCTCAGGGAATCAATTTCTTTCTGCTTCAGTCTCAGGAGGGTGTATGTGTCCAGATATTTATCCATGTCTTCTAGGTTTTCTAGTTTGTGTGCATAGAGGTGTTCATATCAGCCTATAATTGTTATGTGTTTTTCTGGGGGGTTAGTGGTAAAATCTCCTTTATCATTTCTGATGGTGTTTATTTGGATCTTCTCTCTTTTCTTTGTTAGTCTAGCAAGTGGCCTATCTATTATATTTTTCAAAATACCATCTCCTGGATTTGGTGAATTTTTTAATACACTTTTGTGCCTTGATCTTCAGTTCAACTCTGATTTGGGTTATTTGTGATCTTCTGTTAGCTTTGGAGTTGGTTTGATCTTGCTTCTCTAGTTCTTCTACTTGTGATATTAGGCTGTTAATTTGAGATCTTCCTGACTTTTTGGTGTGGGCATTTAGTACTATAAATTTCCCTAGTAATACTGCCTTAGCTATATCCCAGAGATTCTGGCATGTTGCATCTTTGTTCTACAAGCTTCAAAGAACTTCTTGATTTCTGCCTTAATTATTTACCCAAAAAAAGTCATCTGGATCAGGTTGTTTAATTTCCTGTCATTGTATAGTTTTGATTAATTTTTTAGTCTTGATTTTATTTTCATTCTGCTGTGGTCTGAGAGTGTGTTTGGTGTCATTTCGGTTCTTTGCATTTGTTGAGGATTGTTTCATGTTTCAGCGTGTGGTCAATTTTAGAGTATGTGTCATGTGGCAATAAGAAGAATATATATTCTGTTGTCTCAGGGTGGAGAGTTCTGTACACATCTATCATATCCATTTGGTCCAATGTTGAGTTCAGATCCTGAATATCTTTGTTAATTTTCTGCTTCAATGATCTGTCTAATAATGTCAGTGGGGTGTTAAAGTCTCCCACTATTATTGTGTGAGAATATAAGTGTCTTTGAAGGTCCTTAGAACTTACTTTATGAATCTGGGTGATCTCGTGTTGGGTGCATATACATTTTGGATAGTTAGGTCTTCTTGTTGAATTGAATCCTTTACCATTATGTAATGCCCTTTTTGCCTTTTTTTGATCTTTGTTAGTTTAAAGTCTGTTTTGTCTGAAGTTAGGATTGCAACCTCTGCTTTTTTTCTGATTTCCATTTCCTCGGCAGATTTCCCTCCATCCCTTTATTTTGAGCCTGGGTGTCATTGCATGTGAGTTAGATCTCTTGAAGATAGCATACAATTGGATCTTGCTTCTTTATCCAGCTTGCCATTCTCTACCTATTAATTGGGGCTTTTAGCATGTTTACATTAAAGGTTAATATTGATATGTGTGGATTTGATCCTGTCATTGTGTTATTAGCTGTTTATTATGTCAACTTGTTTGTGTGGTTGCTTTATAGTATCACTGGTCTGTGTACTTAAGTGTGTTTTTGTAGTGGTTGGTAATGGGCTTTACTTTCAAGATTTAGTAATTTTTTTAGGAGCTCTTGTAAGGCATGTCTGGTGATAAAAAAAAAAAATTCCCTCAGCATTTACTTGGCTGAAAAGGATCTTATTTTTCCTTCAGTTATGAAGTTTAGTTTGGCTGGATATGAAAGTCTTGGTTGGAGTTACTTTTCTTTTTAAGAATACTGAATATAGGCCTGCAATCTCTTCGGTCTTACAGGGTTTCTGCTGAGAGGTATGCTTTTAGTTCGATGAGCTTCCCTTTACAGGTGACCTGTCCTTTCTCTCTTACTGCCTTTATTATTTTTTCTTTCATTTTGACCTTGGGGAATCTGATGATTATGTATCTTGAGGATGATCTATTTTTGAATGGGCCCAAGCCAGAGGTTTTCTGCATTTCCTGAATTTGAATATTGGCCTCCCTAGCTAGGTTCGGGAAGTTCTCATGGATAATATCCTGAAATGTGTTTTTCAAGTTGTTTGCTTTCTCCCTGTCACTTTCAGGGATGCTAATGATTTGTAGATTTGGCTTCTTTACATAATCTCCTATGTCTCAAATGTTTTGCTTGTTCCCTTCTGTTCTTTTTTATTTTTGTTGACTGTATTGTTTCAGACAGCGAAACTTCAAGTTCTGAGATTCCTCCTCAGCTTGGTTCCCTCTGCTGTTAATATTGGCAATTGCATTGCAAAATTCTTGTAGTATGTTTTTTGGTTCTATCAGATAATTTAGGTTCTTTTTTATACTACCTATTTTGTCTGTCAGCTCTTGTATTGTTTTATTGTGATTCTTAGTTTCCTTGGATTATGTTACAGTATTCTCCTGAATTTTGATTTTTATTCTTATCCATATTCTGAATTCCAGTTCTGTATTTTCAGCAAACTCACCCTAGTTAAGAATGCTTGTTGGAGAACTAGTGCAGTTGTTTGGAGGACATAAGACACTCTGGCCGATTAGTTGCTGGAGTTCTTGCATTGGTTTGTTTCTCATCTCTGAATGTGGGTATTTCTTTAAATGTCATATACATTGAGTACAGTCAGTAGGCTTATTTTCTGAATCTTCACAGGACTGAGCCTTTGTACAGGGTCTTTATTTGCAGCTGACTTATATTTGGTTTCACAGGGGGTTATGCTAGTGAGGTAGTTTTGGTGTTGAAGCTTTGAGGTGTGATCCAGTAGGTGGCACTTAAGTGTAGCGGTCAGTTGGTAGGCTTTTGCTCAGTTGTGTGGCTCCCCTATATTTCCTCACATTTGCAGTTGTTCTCCCTCTTGGTGCTCTGACAGTGTGGGCTCTCCTCCCATTTGAGTGCTGGACATAGATCACAGCTTAGTACTCCTGGGCTTCCCATCATATCTCTGGTATAATCTCAGGGTTTATGTTTTCTCCCCAACTTGGAGGCAGCAGAGGAAGGGACCTTAGCAGTGGTTGTGGCTGAAGGTCTTTTACTTGTCTCCTGGGAGCTCCACCCCAGGAGATTCAGGTTAGCAACCACTCAGCGTGATTAGCCCAAGATGGGGGTCCTGTGCTGTGGACCCGAGCCAGCGGTTCCCTGCCTATTTATGAACAGTGGGAGTGGGTGTTACCCATGGAAGATGGACCGGCCTCCTATCCTTGGATCAACTGCTACTTGTTGGAGGTGTGGACAGATACTTATGGTCTTTGCTCCTTTGTTAGTCTGAGGGTAGCAGGGGTAGTACCACTGCAGTGGCAGTGGCAGAGGGGCTTTCAATTGCCACTGGGGGTTCCACCTCCAAGGAATTTGGAGCCGCTGTTACTGGGAGTGTTCAGCCAGTGGGGTGGAGCAGCTGCACTGCTGGCATGAGCTTGGGGCCCTGCTTGTTGGGGAGGAGGGGGTCAAAGGCTCACCAGGAGGAGAGACTGATCTCCTCTCAGTATCATAATTGTGGGTTGCTGTAAGCTCAGTGTAGCCCTAGGCTCTTTGTTTCTTCCCCAAGGGCAGCAGGGATTAAAGTGCTGCTGTGGCAGTGGCAGAGGAGTTGTCAAATGCCTCTGGGAGCCTCTTTCTAGGAAAACTCTGGGCCACTAGAAGTGAGTATGCTCAGCCGTGTAGGGTGACTGGTCCACAGTCATGAGCCAGGAGTCCCAACTGGCGAAGAGGGGCTGGACTCCTCTCCAAATGGTGGCTGCAGTGTGCTGGAGGTGTCAGCGTAGTGACTACGCACTTTGTTCTTTGTTCTTTCCCCATCCCAAGGACTGTTAGGGTAATAAATACCACTGTAACTGCAGTGCCAGAAGGGTTGTTGGTTGACTCTGGGTTTCCTCTTCAGAGAAATGCTGGGCTGCCTCTGATTGAAGTGGTGAGTTACAGGCAGGGTGGTTGTGATGGAGTCCCATATCAGGCAGCCCTGCCCAGTGAGAAGTGAGGAATTGCCCCTGGGGGCTCCACCTCCAAGGAATTTGGAGCCGCTGTTACTGGGAGTGTTCAGCCAGTGAGGTGGAGCATCCGCACTGCTGGCATAAGCTTGGGGCCCTGCTCGTTGGGGAGCTTGTTGGGTCTCCCCTAGAAGTCAGGCCTCCATGGGGAACAGTCTGACCACTTTTCTGTGAGGTGGCTGCTCTGTGCTGGAGGTCAGGACCAAACCCTGGTCCCCAAGGACTCTCCGGAGCCTGGAGACAGCAAGGACTAGGGCTATGAAACAGCAAATATGGCATCCCCCACGCCCACACTGGGAGCTCTGTCACAGGGAGTTGCAGAGCTGCTACAGGCTCAATAGCCCTAGAGGGTGTGGCTGGAGACCCAACAAGCTCCCCAGCAAGCAGGCCCCCAAGCTTATGGCAGCAGGGCAGCTGCTTCACCTCACTGGCTGAACACTCCCAGTAACAGTGGCTCCAAATTCCTTGAGGTGGAGCCCCCAGGGGCAATTGAAAGCCCCTCTGCCACTGCCACTGCAGTGCTGGTAGAACTCACCCAGTAGGGAGATACTGGATTGGGGACCCACAAAACAAAGAGTCTGGCCACCTCCTTAGGGCTGCTGCAGTTCACTGGGAGTCTGCTCCAGTCCATAGTCGCCTCAGATTTTCCAGTACCTAAAGGCTATATCAACAGTGATGGCTACGAAACAGCAAAAATGGCAGCTTGCCCCTTCCTCTGGGAGCTCCACTCCAGGGAGGCACAAACCTGTCACCCACCTGAACCCACTGCCCAGGGTGGTTGGGGACCCCAGTTGGCAGGTCCCACCCAGTGAGGAGAAACAGGATTAGGGACTCGCATAAAAAAGCAGTCTGGTCACTTTTTAGAGAGCAGCTGTGCTGTGCTGAGGGTCCACTCCAGCCCCTAGTTGCTTCGGACTCTCCAAAGCCTGAAAGCAACAGCACCTAAGGCTGAGAAACAGCAAAGATGGAGCTTGGCCACTCTCTCTGGGAGCTCCATTCCAAGGTGGTTTGGAACTGCTGCTGGCTGGAAAAAATTGATGAGGGTGGTTGTAGACCTCACCTCAGTCTGGAGACTGCACCTAGTGAAGAGAACCAAGATCTAGGACTAGAGTCTGGCCATCTCTCCACAGAGCTGCTGTACTGTGACAGGGGACCACTTCAGTCCCTAGTTGTCTCAGATTCCCCAGAGCCCCAAGGCAACAATGACTAAGTCAGTTAAACAGCAAAGATGGTGGCCCACCTGTCCCTCTGGGAGCTCCACCTCAGGGAGCTGTAATGTAGTCACCCATGGCTGGCTGGAGTTCCAAGCCAGTGTGTCTTATCCTGCGAGGTGTTGTGGAAGTGGGGCCTATAGACGTCACTGTGCAGCCCCCTGGATTCAACCCTAGGGGTATGTATGTGAGTTTAACCTTCTACTTTGCCAGAGTTGCAGCCTCTTTTGCTGGGAAGCCCGGGTATTTAAAGCTCCTGGGGCTCTGGGAGTGCCTGAGTGGCTGCTCTGCCTAGACTTCACATAAGACTTAGGAAAATTAAGGACATGCATCAATCTGTAGTTGTTTTGACGGCCTAGCAATATTTAAAATATATCCCCCAGAATGGGTTTTTCTTTTCTATTGCATCATTAGCCTGCAAATTTTCTAAACGTTTATGCTCTGCTTCCTCTTGAATGCTTTGCCGCTTAGAAGTTTCTTCTGCCAGATACCATAAATCATCTCTTTCAAGTTCAAAGTTCCACAGATCTCTAGGGCAGGGGCAAAATGCCACCAGTCTGTTTGCTAAAGCATAGCAAGAGCTACCTTTATTCCATTTCTCAACAAGTTCTCATCTCCATATGAGACCACCTCAGCCTGGACTTCACTGTCCACATTACTATCAGCATTTTGGTCAAAGCCATTCAAAAAGTCTCTAGGAAGTTCCAAACTTTCCCACATCTTCCTATCTTCTTCTGAGCCCTCCAAGTCTGTAAGAAGTTCAAAACTTTCCCACATTTTCCTACCTTCTTCTAAGCCCTCTGAACTGTTAAAATCTCTGCCTGTTACCCAGTTCCAAAGTTGCTTTGGAACATTTACGGGTCACATTTTGGGTAGCCTTATAGCAGCACCCCACTCTCTGCAGTACCAGTTTACTGTATGAGTCACTTCTCATGCTGCTAACAAAGACATACCCGAGACTGGGTAATTTATAAAGAAAAGAGGTTTAATTGACTCACAGTTCAGCATGGCTGGGAAGGCTTTAGGAAACTTACAAGCATGGTAGAAGGGGAAGCAAACACATCCTTCTTCACATAGTGGCAGCAAGGAGAAGAATGAGAGCTGAATGAAGGGAAAAGCCCTTTATAAAGCCATCAGATCTCATGAGAACTCACGCACTATGAGAACAGTATGGGAGAAACTGTTCCCATGATAGAATTATCTCCACCTGGTCCCGCCCTTGACACATGGGGATTATTAAAATTCAAGATGAGATTCTGGGTGGGCACACAGCGAAACCCTATAAGCTTGGCCCTGGACAACAGATAAAAGGGTGTGAAGTCCAGGTTGAGATTAAAATGGAGCCTGAAAGAAATATGGTACCATTGAAGGTGACTGATGAAATATGGAAGGTGAGGAAAATGAGGTTTATAAAAGACTTCTCTGGTATACATTCTCATCTGGGAAAAACAAACAAACAAACAACAACAAAAAAACAAAAACAGAAATCTCTTAGATGATTCTTTTATTTTGTTAATTTTAAGATGAAGTCATTTCCTCTTGGTTTCAAGACAAATGTAACCTCTGGGATTTTTCTTTCCTTGGCTTCCTGATGGTTCCTCTCTCCCACTATAATACTAAAACTGCAAACTGCATATTTTCCAAAGCTTTATTATTGCCACATTGATTTTCATGATATGTATTTTCTAGCTCAGAAATGTATCCTCATAATTTAGATATTTATATCAATATGAACTGGCTTCACTCTTAAACTTTAGATTTAAATATCCATCAGCACTTTGGATGAATTCACTTCTACCTTTACACTAAGCCCAAACCATCCTCAATTTTCACTCACTCTAGATTCCCATTCTGGGCCTACCTGTTTCCGGTATGTCTGTAACCATTTCCAAAGGTTCAACTTGGGAGAGAAGTTTCCTTCAAGCACGCTCACCTGGGTGTTGACAGGCCTCAAAAGAGCTCACTAACCATGTGAGTGAGTGAGCTCACATGGTTGTTGGCAGATATTTTAGTCTGCGTGGGTTGCTATAACAAAGTCCACGGATTGGGTAGTCTAAACAACAGAAATTTATTTTATAATGATTCCCAAAGGGTAGAAGACCATGATCAAGGTGTTGATAGGATTGGTTTCTTCTGAGAGCCATGAGAAAGGGGTTTGTTCCAAGACTCCATGGCTTGTAGATGGCCATTGTCTTCCTATACCTTCACATTGTCTTCTCTTTGTCTGTGTCCAAATTTTCTCTTCTTATTAAAATATCAGGTATGTTAGATTAAACTCACCTTAATAACCCATTTTAACTTAATTGGTCATTCACTGCATAACTACATTTTGGTCAACAACAGACCACATAAGCAACAGAGGTCCCATACAATTATAATATTGTACTTTATGGTATCCTTTTTATGTTTAGATGTGTATAGATACACAAATACCATTGTGTTACAATTTCCTACAGTATTCATTACAGGAACTGAACAGGATGCTGTACAAGTTTATACCCTAGGAGGAATAGGCTATACCATATAGCCCAGGTGTGTAGTAGGCTATATCATCTAGCTTGTGTAAGATACAACTGAGAAATGTGATCTAGCTTGTGTAAAATGTATCTCTGAAATATTTGATCTATGATGCATAGAAAGATCTATGATATTTACAAAATGACAAAATCAATGCATGAAGGCATTTCTCAGATGTGTCTCTATCATTAAGCCATATATGACTGTACCTCAGTAAATACTCAGCCCCCAAATTCAGTCACATTCTGAGGTACTAGGAATTAGGTCTTCAACATATGAATTTAGGGGGTGGTGGGATGAAATTCAACCCAGAATAGCAGGCCTCAAGATCTCTCTTGAGTTGTTGACTATAGACATTAGTTCTTTATTACATGGACCTGTCCACGCAGGTCACAACATGGTAGCTGGTTTCGCTTAAGGTAAGCAAGAGAAATAATGAGAGAGAGTAAGCAAACAAAGTCAGCACTTTTTCATAACCTAATCTTGGAAGTGACATTTTCCATATTCTATTAATTGGAAGTGATGTCTAATCCAAATCATTTGCAATTCTCTATAGAATTTAGAGTAATTCTCATCTCTTTTCCTCAACTTTGATTTTTGTTGACTAATTGTGGAACAACAGAAAATGTTAAATCTGCTACATTTAGTTTTTTTTTTAAACTCAAAGACAAGTTTTTAATTTTAAAAAGTGCCTCATCTTTAGTACTTTTTCTGAGATATGTAAACATAAAAAATATTTTGTGTATATGTACACACAAAAGCCCACTTTTCTAATGGCAGAGAGTTTTCGTTGCCATGGAGAGGGAATTCACACTTCAGGGAGTAGCTGACTACTTATTCTTGCCCAGCATGCATACCAAAGCTTCATCACCCAGTGCATGGTATACATCTCAACTAGAAAGAAAATGAATCAATTCTCGACAGATGTGTTCATTCTAATTCTGTGACACCAAAAAGTATGTAAGCGCATTTTCTTATAACAGGACAAGATGGCAGGGTGAGGATGAGCAAACTGAGGCAATAGAAAGTCACTTCACATCTCTGTACCTGCTCAGTGGCAAAGCTAATCTAACAATTTTATAGGTTCTGACATCACAATTGTTCTCAATCCAATATGCTGCATCTTAAAGTGGCAAAATATAATATTTAGGCTATGTGATAATTTTAGTATCTTCTGCAACAAAACTTCAATTCAATGGAATCGAATGAACCAAAATCTTTAGTGCCTTTGCATATGATGTTCCCTCTGCCTGGATTATTAACCTCTGTCACCCTCTACTGCAAGCCCACCACTTCACTCTGTTAATACCTAATTGCCTCTCAGGACCAAGTTTATGTAATTGTTCTTTAGAAACAGGCACATGGTCATTCCATGCATTCACCAACAAATTAACATAGAGTTTATCACATGGCATTGTAACCTCATGTTTAATTATCCATCTTACCCATTAAACTGTAAGTAGGTCCTGAGGAGACAGGAATCATGTCTCTCTTAGCCATCACTGTATCCCTGGCACTTAACTCAGTGCTAGGCACATAATAACCCCTCAATCTATTGCCACAACGAGCAGGCAATATTTTTGCTGTTCTCAAATTTGAGTGGAAAGTAGGCTATTATTTTGGGCATATCATATATTTGGGGGCATATCTCCCCCCAAAAAATATTCATTGTGTATTCTGTAGTTCCTCCACGTGGATGTCTTATTTTGTAATACCTGCAATGGTATGATCTAGTGGTTAGTGTTAGAGCATGACTGTGTAAACATCAAGAAGATATGGGTAGACAGAGCAAGAGTTTCTTTCATATGAGTGTGCTGGTAAAAGCAAAGATTTCTACTAAATCCTTAGAACCAGAAATATGATTAAACTTGGAAATACAGAACCAAGGGTTTGAAGTTGAGCAAGATTTGTAGCAATCAGAGATTAGACATAAGCAAGGACTGCCTGATGTGATTACGGAGAACAGCATTGAGGGATCAGCAGCCCACTTTGCTAGTTTAAAGGACTTTAGTGGTTCCAGAAGTAGGTTAAACGGAGGCTTAGGAGGAATTATATTAAGGTCAAATGTACAGAATGATAGCTTCTGATATATATATGCATATATATATATATATATATATATATATATATATATATATATATCTTCAAATTCTTTCCAAAAGAAGATTATGTTACCTAGGATGGGATGATTTGAGATAAAAGCTGTATGGAACCATTATATAATTGATCATTGTCATGAGAGAGAAAACGTGCAGGCTACTTTATAAGAGTGTATTCAGGAAGTCTAACTGAGATAAGAAGGCAGTTCACCCGAGCTATTATTGACTCTGATGGTGTCTTGCTGAATCATGCATGGTGTCAGAAAAATAGAGAATTTTCTTGAAAAAAATGAATACATTACGTTCACCACACATGTTAAACTAGATGGAAACGAAGCTGAACAGTGAAGAAAATGTAAACAGTTCTTGATTTATTCAGAGACTTCAGAGGCTGATGAAAAGAAAGAAAAGCTGAAAATCTTCATGTTGTGCTACATATGGATATTGTATTTACATCTAAGAAAAATTGGAACCCGTTTAGCTATTGTAATCCAGATGTTTTATGAAAACTGTGGTCTCTAGTAAAACCATCACTCATGAGAAATTACCTTTTTATTGTGAGTCTGGAAATACACAGATCAGCTTTGCCTTCCATATTATTTTTATAATATAAAAGTGGAACATAGCAATGCATTTGGGACTAACATTGAAATTCCTGCTTATAAGAATATGAAATAATAAATATACTATTTTAAAAATCTTTCTTGTAGATCACAGTAGTTGAAGTTAAAAGAGAGTTTACATTAATTCTATTGTACTTAATTTTATCAAAGTTTTAAAATCCAAGTGTAATATGGAATATGCACTTTAAGAATTAAACCACAACAGTGCATTGTAAAATGAGGTGCCTGAGAAGCAGAATCAATGTCTTTGTAGTAACTGTGTCAAGTCTATAACTTGAAAATTGTGTTAGTGCCATTGGCTCTGCTTTTAATAGAAACACCACACAACTTTCCACACTTTAATTACTTACTAGCATCTCTTCACAGGCTCAGAACAAAAGTCAAACTTTTAACAAATAGCATAAATGAAATTATATGTTTTGCGTCTAGAACAAGAGTTATTCACAGAAAAAAAAAAGGAAAGATATATTGTCCTGGATATGTGCCCATCTCTGAAGTTAGTTCATTTATTCAGTACTTATTATGTACTAGGCACTGTATTAGGAGCTCACAAACATTAATTGTTCTTTGCAAAACCTTAATAATAGGTCACCCTAAATTTCAGCTGAGGAAGCTGAGTTTAGAGAGATTAAGTAATGGGTCCAAGACCACACAGCTAGTGAATTTTAGAGCTGGGATTTGAATATGAATCTTACCTGCTTTCCTATTACTCTGCTTTTCTACCTTCTCACTTTGCTATATAAATTAACATCTAGCTTTCAAAGAGGAGTACAGAAAAATAATGAAGAAAAACTATTTGGGTGATGGTTACATTAAAAGCCCAGGCTTTACTAATACACAATATACCCATGTAACAAAACTGCACTTGTACTGCTTAAATTTATACAAATTTTTTAAAAAGTTTAGAAGTTGAGATTATAATAGAGATTGAGAAGAGTTGGAATTATTTAGCAGAGAGAATAGGGCTAAAAGTCTTTTAATGTGATCATTTTTGTATTAAGTGTCTTCCATTATGAGTCATAAGATACTTGTAAATAGAGTTTAGTAGGTTACATAAAAGATGTAGACATTTCTACTGTTTCCATTATCTCTTCTCCTTATGAATGGAGAATTGCACTTCCTCACCTCTTTAATTTAGCCTGTCATGTTGATACAGAAGTTCTGGGAAGGGAAGGGCATGGTTCTTTAAAATGATGGAGAAGGGGTGAAGGGAAGTACTGGGTAGAGGAGGGCGTGGTCCCTGACTAGGGCTCCACCCCAGGCCTGTGCCTACAAACCTAGGTGAGTACAGGCACTCCTGCCTTGGTGCCCAAATGTTGCATTTCCCAGGACCACCCTGGCCTGCCATGCCCCCATCCTGTGCCTATAAATACTCTGAGACTGTAGCAGGCAGACACATAGGTGGCTGGATGTCGAGAGGAGCACACCAGCAGAGGAACACACAGACAGCTGGACATCGAGAGGAACACACCGGCATAGAAGCACACCAGGATAGGAGCACACCGGCATAGGAGCACACTGGCATGCCAGCAGGCCATTGACTTGTGGAACAAGGCAGTTTGGCCAGGGCAGTTGGAGGAGAGCTTGGGCAGCTAAGTGGCCCAACTCCAAGGGAAAATCATCTCCTTTCTGGCTCTCCCATCTGCTGAGAACTACTTCCACTCAATAAAACCTTGCACTCATTCTCCAAGCTGATGTGTGATCTGATTCTTCCAGTACACCAAGGCAAGAACCCGGGATACAAAAAGCCCTCTGTCCTTGTAACAAGGTAGAAAGTCTAACTGAGCTGACTAACCCAAGCCACCTACGGATGGCTAAACTAAAAGGGCACTCTGTAACACACACCCACTGGGGCTTCAGGAGCTGTAAACATCCACCCCTAGACACTGCTGTGGTCTCAAAGCCCCGAAGCCTGCTGTCTGTATGCTCCCCTAGAGGTGTGAGCAGTGAGGCACTGAAGAAGCAAGCCACACCCCCATTGCACACCCTGCGAGGGGTACAAAGGAGCTTTTCCCATTTTGACATTACTGCATTGGCCAATAAAATGTGAGTAGAAGAGAAATGTGTCAGTTTTGTACATGGGCACAATGAATTGTCTGTTCAATCCCCTAGCTGCCTCTTTTCTGCCATAATGATTGATGGAGGCCTCATGACCTGATCACCAACCAACAGCCCCACCTCCTTAAACTATCGCATTGGTGATTAAGTTTCAACATATGACTTTTTGAGGACCACAAACATTCAGACCATAGCATCCTCTTTGAAATGCACTGAATCTAAGTCTTCTGTATTTCCACCCCATCCCACCTCTGAAACAGGTAACAGAAAAACTCGAAAGTGTCTGCTGCCCTAAACAAAGATAATAGAGGTGACTTCTTATTCATTTGTTTTGTTTTGGCTTATTTCCTCCTCAAACATCAACATTCACTTGCAGGATTTTATTTCAATTTGAAACAATCCTGACTATCCACAAATCATAAAGAAGACACTAACATCTGATCTGCATATTATAGCTATGTCTTTTCAGTAGCTTTGTAGTTTTTACAAAATGTCAATCTACTTCATTAAATTTAAAACAAAACAAAACAAACAAACAAACAAAAAACAGGAAAAACACTTCCACAGGTATGTTTAGTTCATCCAGAACGAGCCTTAAAAGACAAGAAATGGTAGAACCACTTTTCACCATGAGATTCCCCTGTTCACTGAGGAAAAACTTGATTCAGACATGTTGACAGGCTAAAAGCAGCGTTGGCCAAGGAAGAGAAACTTAGTGCCTTAATAATCAAAGTAGAGAAGTTCTAAAATAAGGAGTCAAGGAAATGTTTCATCTAGGAAAAGCACAAAGCCCGGCTGCACTAAGGTTGAAGCAATTACTGAAATGTCAGAGCTGCACAGAGAAGAGAAGCTACAAAGATTGTTATAGAAGGTGACAGTCTTTTTTTAAAAAACATTCACTTTACAAATGTTTTTATAAATGTGTGCTTTATAGGTAGTTAGTTCAAAAATCTTTGGGGTAGATAGCATCAGGAATGAAAGACATGGGCAAGTGAGAAATTGAAAGAAGCTTCTTCAGGATGTTAATGCTTTGTTGGAATTGACATTTTAAAGCTACAAAAAATAACTTAATAGCTGTAGTGAAGCACCAAAGATGTTTTGTCCTTGGAGACAGCTAGGGTGCTATGGGAAGGATAAACAGGGAAATCTAAACATTGTGCTCTTTGGCCTTATTGAACACATTTCAAGGGAAATTTTATAGCCTCTCAAAGCTGAGTTAGAATAAGAACACCAGACTTGTACAGTTGTATTCACAACCAACTGTGATGGGTAAAACATAAACAACTCTCCCTCTTTTGTGTCTTAGTTTTTTAAAACAATTCTGGATAAAATTTTCAAAAATATTTTACTTTCAACCACTTTTTAAAATGCACACCACAAAGGAAACAGCAGATTTCATTATTTGTTTTTTGATTTATTTCTACAACAATATTTCACATCTATGTCAAATCTCTGAGTTAAAAGAGTGTTTGAACAGATATAATAGGTTTTTCTTATTGTTTATTATAGTATCTGCATTAAAATATTTCTTCGAAGTTTCCTATTGATTCACTCGGATTTGCAATGAGAAGGTCACCACCTAATTTCAAAGGTGATTTTATAATTTATTATGGACAAAGTTTCTAATGAATAATCTTAGAGTTTTAATAAAGATACAAGTAGAAAGCAGATTAAAAAAAGAAAGAATAAAATTTCAAACAAATCTTGGAGCAGTATATTTAGTGTGAACCTAATTTCTAGTAATTATACAAGACATAGTCATTCAATATTATTCAGTGTGTTGCATTGTGTCCAAAGAAGGCTCTAGAAAGATGATGTGATTCTTGCTCTTAAATAAGTGCACAACTTTGAATATTTTTAAGGCAGCATAAAGGCATATTACTTATATTTACATGTATTAGATTACTAAAATTACATAAGCTGAGTACATGATGAAAAAGATATTAGACTTAGTGTCCCTAATCTTACTTGGGAATTATGTATCTTTTATAATGAAAAAAAATTAAGAAAGTTTATAGAAAATTTCAGTCATTTTTAGTAAGAGAATAGTTTGCATGATAACATGACTGATTTCCATTTAATAACTTGGGATTTTGCCCTCAATAGAAATCTGAAAAGTAAGTAGAATATATCAACATATGAATGAGGCAGGAAGGAGTTATTATGAAACCTCTATATCAATTCTGGCAATATATTGAAAAACTAAATTTCAAAGTTGACTTAATAAATGAATAAATTTTTAATAATGTATTTTGTGTTAATATTTGACTTGGTTTTGCTTCTATCAATGTATGGTATCCAAATGAATGCCCTAAGTTTTAGAAAGTGAAAGCATTTGTGATCTATTTTTATAAGTCAGTATGACATTATTTTAGTGATATATTAGGTGTCCTAAAGAGTAAAGAAACTTCCTCCTCCTCTGTCTCTAAACCCTACCCCATCCTCTCCTATCTACTTATTCTTAAAAAAGGAAAATTTGCATTACTTCTTCAGTCATTAAGGCAATATGTATCTTTCTATAATAAAGCATCAGAAAAATTAATTTTTACTTCTGTAATAATGACACATGATTGGGATGTTTTCTACTGTCAGAGAATGTGCTTGAGCATGTGCAGTATTTGATCAGAAGTACAACACCAGAAATTATTGTTATAATTTTAATTTGTAGAGACAGGATCTCATTCTGTTTCCCAGGTTGGAGCGCAGTGGCATAATGATAGCTCACTGCAGCCTTGACCTCCTGGGTTCAAGCAATCCTCCTGCCTCAACCACTTGAGTAACTAGGATTACAGGTGCATGCCACCATGCCTGTTTTTTTGTTTAGTTTAGTTTTGTTTTTAAATGTTTGTAAAGATGATGTTTCATTGTTGCTCAGGCTGGTCTGAACTCTTGGACTCAAACACTCCTCCTGCCTCAGCCTCCCAAACTTCTATGATTACAGGTGTGAGCCATCATGCCCAGTCTATCTTTGTTCTTGACTAAATTTCAACAAGAATAAGTTTACCAAAAAAAAGTTTTCTTGTCAAAGGGATTATAGGGAAGTATAAATATAGATTTCCTACCCATATAAACGTTTGATGAATCAACTAAACTCTGCATTTACTTGAAGTCTGCATTCTGTCTTTATATAAAACCCAACTGATATATAATTTAGCTTCTACTTTTTTCATAATTGCAATGCCATCTTCTCCTATTATTTTTCTGATTACAAAATTAATTTGTACATATTAGAAAAATATGGAAAAAAGAGAAAAGGGAGAGAGAGAGAAAAGAAACATCACCTATAAGCCCATAAATATCTAGCAATATTTACTAAGCATTTACTCTTGAGTTTTTCAAGATAATATTTATGATTTAGTATTTATGATGTATTACATTTATTGATTACTTTAATCAATAAAAATTCTTTATATACATGATTAAAAGGCTGTAAATATACCATAGTTTCTATAATATAAAAACATGAATATGTATTTCAACTAGTTTTCCAGAAAAATTGTTTGTTAAAATTCAAATTATACCCCATCAGCAAAGTATGATTCATTCTAATCAATCATCAATTGATTATATCAATATATATCAGTCAGAAATAAATGAACGCACATCAGTGTACATTAATATAGTGTTCATGGTTAGAGTTGGAGTTGAATTTGCAGGTAGAGTTAAGATTAGGGTCAGTTTTATAATTTGAGCTATATATAATTGTCTTGGGATAAGATAAAAGTTAAAGTTAAAAAGAGACAGATCATAAATAGTTGTTCAACTGTGAGTTAGATGTAAGTTGAGGTCTTCAAAAATCTCTCCATTCTACCTTTTCTTCCACAGCCTATTATGATGCCATTCTTCCTACAACTATATCAGATATTCTTATTAAAGTATAAAAGTGTCAATATTTTCTCCAGAGAGGTTAACCTCTTATATTACATTGACTGTAAATGATGTGACAACCATTCTTCTCTTGAAAAGTAAGGGAAAAGAGAAAAAAAACCTAGAAAAAGAGGGGAAATCTTTTCTTCCTGACATCTAAAATTACTTCAATAAAGGACATCTATATTCTATTCCACATAGAGCTTAAATGCAAATACACAATACTACAAAAATCTCACTGATCTAAACTATTCAAATTAAAGTGGCAAGTGACTGACTTGGTATCCAATACGATAGTAGAATTAGTTTGATAAATGAAGAATGTCACCTGCCCAGAGAGGTAGACAACTTGCCACAGCGCATTACAGCAAGTGCCAGAACTAGTTCTGTTACACTGGGAGCTTTCAGCTCAGCCTCAAAGCCCACCCGACCTAGGTAGGGAAGCAAACCTCAACCTGTCATTGCTACTGAGCATAGAAACTGGTCCCATCCATCCCAAGCAGTGACTCTGCCTAGTTTCAGGGCCCAGTCTGCAACCTTGTCCAATTACAAATATCAAATAGCAGTACCACCTGGTCAAGGAATACCAGGCCAGACCCAGTGAGATCTGATTGGCCAGGTCCAATCAGGGGCAACTGCAGTGGCCATCCAGCAGCTGTGGCCAATTGCAGAGTCACATTCTGTGGCCTGGCCCAGTCAAAGGCAACTGTAGTGGCCACCCTGCAGCTCTCTTCAATTGCAGAGCTCAGCCAGTGGTTTCACTGCAGAGGGAGTCCAGCGAGCAGTCTCACCTAAAATCAGAGCAGGGGCAGCAGCCCAGCCATGTAGAGAGCCTAAAACAAGCCCTGCCTGCCCAGGGTTGTTACCATCTGGCCCATCTAGAATCATAGGCTAGACTAAATAGGCAAGGCCTATCTCTGCCAAAAAAATACCTATAAAAGCCAGAGGAGTGGCTGTCTCTACGAATGTAGACATTACTGCAAGGACTTGAAGACTATAAGGGATCAGGAGATCACAACAGCTCCAAAAAAAGCTAATAAAACCTTTTTTTCCCCAGGATGGCGTACTAGAGGCTTTTAGCATGTCTCAGCCACTTGGAAATAGCAAAACAGTGCATAAAGATAAACTCTTTGAGCTTTAATTCAAGAAGGAAAATGAGAATTCACTGGAATAGTGAGCAACAACCCAGATCTCAGGGAGGAGAAAGTGGGCAAGCAGCCCCGTGATGGCATTCAGCTGATAAAAGTGAGAGAAGCACCAGTACATGAGGAAGCAGAGTCTCCTGCTGTGATTCACCTTCCCACTAGGGTTCCATGCAACCCAGGCCAAGAGAGAGCACCTAGTTCCTCTGAAGCCCTGGAGAAAACTTGAGGAGACAGGCAGAGGAAAAGATAATGGGAAAAGCTGTAGGCATTTTCCGATGCCCAGAACTGAGAGGAGGAAATCATTTTCAATTCAGGCTTATAGAACATCAGTCGTTGTTTGGTGACCTGGAAGCGGCAGCCACTGCAGGCATTTTGGTCAAGGGCCAGAGATTGGAGTAGTTGCTCTGCATTGGAGGACTAATGCTCACAGCCAGAATTGAATGGCAAGTGTGGAGAGCACCTCAGTGGTAAGCACTGGAATCAGCTCTCTCCAGTCACAAGACTGCAGCAAGAAGAGTTGCTCAAGCCAAGATTTAATCTGGGATTTGCAGCCAGAGACAGATTTGTGACTTGGAACCAGCCTACATATGCCATTGCTGGGTGCCCCGGACTGCTCCCTTGGTCAACCAGGGTAGAGTGCCCCACTCTAGTCCTGCTCACCTGAATTGGGAGTATGGTCCAACCCATCCTTCTCTTGCATCTGTGTGCAGTGAACCTCTCTCCACCTCACACCCAGGCATATTCCCAGGCATTTGGATCACCCACTCACTTGGATTAGTAAGTTTTTGCTCTTTTTCTGTGCAGAGATTTTGGGGCACTGGAGTCCTCTCCGCTTTATGACTAGACATATTTCCAGGCATTCAGCACACACCTGCTCACCTGGATTATCAGCCTGAGGTGCCCCTCCTTTTTCCTACAAAATCTTTGTTGTAGCAGTGATAACTTCCCGTCTCACAGAGGGACACATTTCCAGGCAATCGAAGTAAACACTCACCTGGATTGGGAGACTGAGCCACCCTAGATTAGGAGACTACACAATCCCCTTTGCAGAAATCTTGGTGCAAAGGTAAACTTTTTGCTCCACACCTGGATATATCTCCAGGTTTTTGGTGTACCTACCTTCCTGGAATAGGAGCCTGAGGTACCATTTCCTTCCCATGCAAAGGACTTGGTGCAGTGGCACTTCTTCTGCTCCACACCTGGATGTAACTCCAAGCATTTAGCACACTCACTCTCACATATTAGGTGTTTGAGCTGTCCTGACCTTCCTATACAAAGATCTTGTTGTGGTGGCAGTTTCTCTGCTCCTTCCCTGGGCATATCACCCACCTTGAGACACATCTGCCCCCCAACCAGATTAGGAACTTAAGTATTTTCTCCCATCCCCTGTAAAGCCCATGTAACAGCAGTTTTTCCAATCATTGCTGGGGCATATTTCCATGTATTAGGCACATATACTTGCATGGATTAGGAGCCTGAGCCACCTTTCCTTTCAGTTGCAGAGATGTTAGTGCAGTGGTGTTCTTTCCGCTTGACACCCAGACATATCTCCAGGTGTTTGGAGCACCAACTCTTCTAGATTAGAAGTTTAGGCCACCCCCCTTCCCATGCAGAGAACTTAGGGCAATGTAGGTCTTCCAATTCCATGCCTAGGCACACCTCTAGGTGCTTGATGGCTATCCACAAGACCACACCTCAAAGATGGTGCCTATGCCTACCATTTGGGAACCTGTAGGTGGGTCTGCCTAGCTCTGCCCCAGTCATCTTGGTCCTTCCCTCCAGGGCTGAGCACGGAGCTCAGACTACTGTGCATTACACAGATCAGCCCATTGTCTGAGACAATAGAAAATTTCTCCCAGTAAACAAGGAATAAGTATACATACCTATGTGTATCAGCTGTGACTGATGATGTAGATGGGTATATACTTGATCCTTGATGCAAATGAATATATACTTGATCCTTGTTTACTGGGAGAAGTTCTCTGGCTCTTACCCATGAGCACCACCCACTGGCCTCGAGGAGAAACAGCATAACACAATAGGAAATCTTTCAACACCAGTGCGTAGCACTGGGTAGCAAGATAAGCTTCCTGATACCAATATCGCTTCAGCCTCATAGGTGCCAGTGAACCTGCTCATATGCCTAGAACATGACTACTACAACCAGAATTTAGAAAAGGCACTATGAAAGGGCTATCTATAACCAAGGAACTTAAAAACAGACTCTTGGTCACTGAAAGCAACCAGACCAAAGTCAAAGGACCATAGACAACATACATTATAGCCACCTCCACAATGAGGGGTAGGGTGGGAAATTTCATCCAAATGAAATCTAACTCAAAAAATAAGGGGAGATAAATTATCCAGAGGAGAAAAAGCCGGGGTGTGGGGGGGCGGGGGGGTGGGAACTCTAAAAATAGGAAAAAAACAAAGTGTCACAATGCCTTCAAGGCACTACATTAACTCTCCAGCAATGGATCTTAACCAAAATGAAATGTTTGAAATACCACATAAAAAACTCAAAATGTTCATTTTAAAGAAGCTAAATGAGATTAAAGAGAAAGCTGAAAAGCAACACAAATAGATCACAATAGCAATTCAGAATATAAAGAAGAGATTGACATCATTACAAAAAGACTAAACAGAACTCCTAGAAATGAAAAATCCATTAAAGGAATTACAAAATACAATTGAAATATTTAACAATAGGCTAAATTGAGTGAAAGAATTTCAGAGCTGAAAGAGAGGCATTTTGAATTAACTCAGACAAAAATGAAGAATTTTAAAAACTGAGCAAATCCTTTGAGAAATATGGTACTGTGTAAAGTGTTCAAACTTATGAGTTATATGTATTCCAGAGGGAGAGGAAGAAAAAAGTAAAAAAGTATGGAAGATATATTTTAGAAAATAATTCAGGAAAAATCTCTTGGCTTTTGGAAATATTTAAATATTCAGATACAAGAAGCTCAGAGAACTCCTACAAGATACAATCCAAGAAGAACCACACCAAGGCATATGATAATCAAACTATCCAAAGTCAACAGGAAGGAAAAAATGCTAAGAGTGGCAATAGAGAAGCATCATCTGTAAAGGAAATTCTATCAGACTAATAACAGATTTATCAGCAGAAACTCTGTAAGCCAGAATAGCTTAGGAGGTCATTTTTAGCATTGGGGTGGGGGAGGGGGAAGCTAGCCAACAGCTTTGTATCCTGCCACACTAACCTTCATAAATGAAAAATAAATAAAGTCTTTTCCAGACAAACAAAAGCTGAGGGAATTTGTCACTACTTGACTGGCTCAGAGAGGTTGTAAAGATGGAAATGAAGGGATAGTATTCACCATCATAAAATAACACTTAAGTACAAAAATTACAAATCCTAGAAAACATTACATACAACTGAAATGCCAAAACAACTAGCTAACAACACTATGACAAGAACAAAATCCCACATAATAATATTAACCTGGAAGGTAAATGGCCTCAATACTCCTAACAAATACAGAGTAGCAAGTTGGGTTAAAAAATAAGTCTCCACCATTTTCTGTATACAAGAGACAGGTGTAATGACTAAAGACAGCTACAGATTCAAAGTAAAAAAATAGAAAAATATATATAACACAAATGAAGAACAGAAATGAGCCAGAGTAGCCATCCTTACATTAGATAAAACAGATTTTATTTTTTATTTATTTTATTTAGATGGAGTCTTGCTCTGTCACAAAGGCTGGAGTGCAGTGGTGCGATCTTGGCTCACTGTAAGCTCCGCCTCCTGGGTTCACACCATTTTCCTGCCTCAGCCTTCCGAGTAGTTGGGACTACAGGTGCCTGCCACCATGCCTAACTAATTTTTTGTATTTTTAGTAGAGATGGGGTTTCACCGTGTGTTAGCCAGGCTGGTCTCAATCTCCTGACCTCATGATCTGTCCCCCTTGGCCTCCCAACGTGCTGGGATTACAGGTGTGAGCCACTGTGCCTGTCCCAGATTTTAAATAATAGTAAAAACACACCAAAGAATGCATTATATAATGATAAACGTTTCAATGGAACAAGAAGATTTAACTATTGTAAATATGTATGCATCTAATACTGGGGCACCCGGATTCAAAAAACAAATACTACTAGACCTAAGAAAACAAACTGATAGCAATACAATAATAGTACGGGACTTCAACACCCCAGTGACATCACTAAACAGATCATCAAGGCCGAAAATCAACAGTGACATTCTGGATGTAAACTGGACTATAGAGCAAATGTACCTATAAGACCTTTATGGAACATTGCATCCAATGACCACAGAATATACGTTCTTTTCATCTGTGCATGGAACATTCTCCAAAGTTAACCATATACTTGGCCATAAAGCAAGTCTTAATCAATTCAGAAAACTCAAAATTATAACAAATAATTTCTTGGACTCAGTTGTTGGTCTTTTGAATGGATAAACAAAATTGAATATTAAAGACTTAAAAGTAAGACCTGAAACTATAAAAATCATAGAAGAAAAACTAGGAAAAACTCTTCTGGACATTAACCTAGACAAAAAATTTATGATGACACCCTACAAGCAAATGCAACAAAAACAAAAATAGACAAATGGGATTTAATTAAACCAAAAAGTGTCTGCACAGCATAAGAAATTATCAACAGAGTAAACAGACCACTTAAATAATCAGAGAAAATATTTGCAAACTATGCATTTGACAAGGAACTAATATCCAGAATCCACAAGGAACTCAAACAACTAAACAGGGGGAAAAAAAAAAAACATTAAAAAGTGAGCAAAGAACATGAACTACACTATTTTCAAAGGAAGACATACAAGTGGCTAACAAACATATAAAAATATGCTCAACATCAGTAATGATCAGATAAATGCAAATTAAGTCCACAATGAAATATCATGTAAAGCCATTCAAAATGGCTATTGCTAAACTGTAAAAAGACAGCATATGTTGTTATGGATGTGGAGTAAAGGGAACATTCACATACTGTTCGTGGGTATGTAAATAAGTTCAACTTCTATGGAAAACAGTACAGGGATTTTTTGTAGAACTAAAAATATAACTCCTATTTGACCCAGCAAACCTATGAGTGTGTATGCACCTAAAAGAAGAGAAATAATTATATTAAAAGGCATCTGCACTCATACATTCATTGCAGTACAACTTACAATAGTGAAGTCATTAAGCCAACTAAGTGTCCATCAAAGATTGATTGGATAAAGAAAATATTGTATCTATACACCATGGAATACTACCCAGCCATAAAAAGAATAAATTCATGTCCTTTGCAGCAACATGGATAGAGCTAGAGGCCATTATTCTAAGCAAAATAATGCAGAAACAGAAAACCAAATACCTCATGTTCTCACTTATAAGTGGATGCAAAACAATGGGTATACATGGATAGATAGATAAATAGTTAGAAAAATAGACACTAGGGACTCCAAAGTAATAGATATGGGGTGAGTTTTGAAAAATTACCTTTTGGGTACAATGTTCAATATTTGGTTAACGAATGTACCAGAAGCCCAATCCCCACCAGTACACAATATACCTATGTAAAAAAGTATGCACATGTATCCCATAAATCTAAACTACATTTAGAAAACAATAAGAGAAATTTAACAATAAAGTAAATAAAAAAGTGAAAAGAAATAAGAAAACTCCGATAATGGACCCTAAAGAAATGGAGTTCTATGAAGTGGCAGACAAAGAATTAAGAATAATCCTCTTAAAGAAGTTTAATTAGCTTCAAGAATACATGTAAAAATAATAAAATATTAAGTGAAATTTGAAAGTAATAAATGAACAAAATGAGAACACTAATAAAGAAATTTTAAACATTAAAAAACTAACAAATAGAAATCCTAGAGATAAAGAATATAATGGATGTAAGAAAAAGTGCAATAGAAAGCTTCAACAGGCTTGATCAGACAGAGAAAAGAATTAGTAAGTTAGAAGACAGAATATCTGAAATTAACCAGTAAAATAAGCCAAGAAAATAATAAGAATGAAGGAAGTCTGTGAAAATTACTGAACATCATCAAGAGGCCTAATCCATGCATAATAGGATTTTAAGAAGGAGAAGATGGATAAAAGGGCCAGAAAACATGTTTAAAGAAATAATAGCTAAAATTTTCCCAAATCTAAGTAACAATGCCAACGACTATGTGCAAGAATCCCCAAATTCTCCAGTTAAATTCAACCAAAAGAAGAGATTGCCATGGGACATAATAATCAAACTATCAAACATCAAAGACATAGAAAAAAGTTATGAAAATAGCAAGAGATAAGGAACATATCACATAGAAAACAGTCCCAATATGGCTATAAGAGAATGGTTCAGCAGAAACCTCAGAGCCCAGGCAAGACTGAAGTAATATATTCAAACTGCTAAAGGAAAAAAAAAAATGCCAACCATGAATATTTTATCCAACAAAGTTGTCTTTCAGAAATAAGACAAAAATAAAGACGTCCAGATAAACAAAAGCTAAGTGTATTAGTCTGTTCTCATGCTGCTAATAAAGACATAACTGAGATTGGATAATTTATAAAGTAAAGTGGTTTAATTGACTCACAGTTCCACATGCTTGGGGAGGCCTCACAATTATGGCAGAAGGTAAAGGAGGGGAAAAGTCACATCTTACGTGGTGGCAGGCAAGAGAATTTGTGAAGGGGGACTCCCATTTATAAAACCATCAGCTCTCATGAGACTTACTGACTACAATTAGAACAATATGGAGGAAACCACCCCTGTGATTCAATTATCTCTATTTGGCCCCACCCTGGACATGAGGGGATTATTACACTTCAAGGTGAGTTTTGGATGAGGACACAGCCTAACCATATCATTCTGCCCCTGACCCCTCCCACATTTCATGTCCCTTTTCACATTTAAAAACACAATCATGCCTTCCCAACAGTCCCCCAAAGTCTTATCTCATGTCAACACTAACTCAAAAGTCCACAGTCCAAAGTCTCATCTGACACAAGGCAAGTCCCTTCTGCCTATGAGCCTGTAAAATCAAAAGCAAGTTACTTACTTCGTAGATACAATTGGGGTACAGGCATTGGGTAATTACACATGTTTCAAATAGGAGAAATTGGCCAAAATGAAGGGGCTACAGGTCCCATGCAAGTCCAAAACCCAATAGGGCAGTCATTACACCTTAAAGTTCCAAAATGATCTACTTTGACTCTATGTCTCACATCCAGGTCACGCTGGTGCAAGAGTTGGGCTCCCATGGGCTTAGGCAGTGCCACCCCTGTGGCTTTGCAGAGTACAGTCCCCTCCCAGCTGCTTTCACAGGCTGGCGTTGTCTGCAGCTTTTCCAGGTGCAGTGAAAGCTGTCAGTGGCTCTACCATTCTGGGGTCTGGAGGACAGTGGCCCTCTTCTCACAGCTCCACTAGGCAGTGCACCAATGGGGACCCTGTGTGGGGGCTCCCATCCCACTTTCCCTTCTGCACTGCCCTCACAAAGATTTTTCATGAGGACTACGTCCCCGCAGCACATCTCTGCCTGGACATCCAGGCATTTTCATACATCTTCTGCACGCTAGGTGGAGTTTTCCAAACCTCAGTTCTTGACTTCTGTGCACCTGCAGGCCCAACACCAGGTATAATCTGCCAAGGCATGGGTCTTGCACCTGCACCCTCTGAAGCAATGGCCTGAGCCATACTTGGCCCCTTTTTGCTATGGCTGGATGTGAAGCAGTTGGGATTCAGGGCACCAAGTCCCTGGGCTGCACACAGCAGGGGGCCCTGGGCCTAGCCCACAAAACCATTTATTACTTCAAGGCTTCTGGACCTATGATGGGAGGGGCTGCAGATGAAGGTCTCTGACATGGCCTGGAGACATTTTCCCCATTGTCATGGTGATTAACATTTGGCTCTTCCTTACTTATGCCAATTTCTGCAGCCAGCTTGAATTTCTCCCCTGAAAATGGGGTTTTCTTTTCTATCACATCATCAGGCTGCAAATTTTTCCAACTTTCATCTTTTATGCTCTGCTTTTTTTTTGAGATGGAGTTTTGCTCTTGTAGCCCAGGCTGTAGTGCAATGGTGCAATCTTGGCTCACTGCAACCTCCACCTCCCAGATTCCAGCAATTCTCCTGCCTCAGCCTCCTGAGTAGTTTGGATTACAGGCATGTGCCAACATGCCTGGCTAATTTTGTATTTTTATTAGAAATGGGGTTTCTCCATGTTGGTCAGGCTAGTCTTGAACTCCTAATCTCAGGAGATCTGCCCTCCTTGGCCTCCCAAAGTGCTGGGATTACAGGTGTGAGCCACCATGCCCAGCCTCTGCTTTTTTTGAATGATTTGCTGCTCAGAAATTTCTCCCACCAGATACCCTAAATCATCTCTCTCAAGTTCAAAGTCCCACAGACTTGTAGGGCATGGGAGAAATGATGCCAATCTCTACGCACAGCAACAGTGACCTTTACTTCAGTTCCCAACAAGTTCCTCATCTTCATCTGAGAACACCTCAGCCTGGACTTCATTGTCCATATCACTATCAGCATTTTGGTCAAAGGCATTCAACAAGTCTGTAGGAAGTTCCAAACTTTCCCACATCTTCCTCTGTTCTTCTGAGCCCTCCAAGTCTCTAGGAAGTTCCAAACTTTCACATATCTTCCTCTGTTCTTCTGAGCCCTCCAAGTCTCTAGAAGTTCCAAACTTTCCCACATCTTCCTATCCTCTTCTGACCCCTCCAAGTCTCTAGAAAGCTCTAAACTTTCCCACATTTTCCTGCCTTCTTCTAAGCCCTCTGATGTATTCCAACCTCTTCCTGTTACCCAATTCCAAAGTCTCTTCCCCATTTTTGGGTATCCTTATAGCAGTACCCCACTAGTTCCTGGTACCAATTTACTGTATTAGTCTGTTCTCACGCTGCTAATAAAGACATATGAGGGACTGGGTAATTTATAAAGGAAAGAGATTTAGTTGACTCACAGTTCCACATGGCTGGGGAGGCCTCACAATCATGGCAGAAGGCAAAGGAGGAGCAAAATCACGTCTTACATGGTGGCAGGCAAGAGAGCCTGGGCAGGGAAACTCCCATTTATAAAACAATCAGATCTCATAAGACTTATTCACTATCGTGACAACAGTATGGGGAAAACTGCCCCCATGATTCAATTATCTCCACCTGGCCCTGCTCTTGACACATGGAGATTATTACAATTCAAGGTGAGATATGGGTGAAGACACAGCCAAATCATATCACTAAGATAGTTCACTAACACTAGGCCTGACCTACCGGAATGACTAGAGGACCTTCTTTAAAATGCACCAAGACCACTAATTATTAACTTGAACATACAAAAGCATAAAAATTCATGGTAGAAGAAATACAGAATCATATTCAATATACTCTGATATGGTGATGTTTAAACCAGTTTTATCTCAGTATGATAGTTAATAAAAATACATCAAAACAACAATAGGTAAAATTTAATTTTCAAGGAATACAAATTATATAATAATGTAAATTTTGACATCAAAAACATAAAATGTGGGTATAATAAAAGTGTAGAGTTTTGTAACTCTACAAAAGCAAATGCAATCAAAGTTAAATTGTTATCAGCTTAAAATAGTTTGTTATAAGTATGTTTTATGCAAGTCTTATAACAAAAAGGCAAATATCTGTACTAGATTTTTAAAATATAAATATAAACAATTCACTACAGACAACCATTAAGTCACAAATGATGATGGCAATAGAGGAAGAAAAAATATATATAAAACACAAGCAGAAGACAAAAGACAAGGGCTTCAGTTCACCGGGCCGAACTTTCCAGAATACTCAGTGAGATGTAGAGAAGTGGAAACTGCCCGAGCTTCAAAAAGTTACTACAGTCCTTTCCGCTTTCTCACACTGGCCTCATCCTACTCAGTAGCTGTAGAAAATGGTGAAATAAACCAGTTTCCATGATTTTTGGAGGGTCAAACAAAGTACCACTAAGGAAGAACTGAAAAAGGCTTATAGGAAACTGGCCTTGAAGTACCACCCTGATAAAAATCCAAATGGAGAGAAGTTTAAACAGATTTCTCAAGTTTACAAAGTTATTTCTGATGCCACGAAAAGAGAATTGTATAACAAAGGAAGATAACAGGTAAATAAGAGGGCTGAGCAAGTGGCAGTTCTGGGTCCCCTATGGACATCTTCAATATAATTATTTATGGAGGAAGAAGAATGCAGAGAGGAAAGAGGAGTAACATTGTTGTGCATCAGCTCTCAAAACCTTAAAAAATGTATGTGATGGTACAACAAGAAAATTGGTACTTCACAAGAATGTAATTTGTGACTAATGTGAAGACAGAAGTGGGGAAAAAAAGAGGAGAGAAGTATAGTGTTGTCCCAGTTGCCAAGTTACTGGACTGTAAATAAGAATTCATGCAATAGGGCCTGGGATGGTTCAGCATACTTAGTCTCTATGTATGCATGGAGTGCCACGGTCATGGAGAATGAATCAGTCCTAAAGACAGATGTAAACACTGAAATGGAAGAAGGATAGTTTGAGGGGAAAAGATTCTAGAAGTTCATGTTGACAAAGACATGAAATATGGCCAGAAGATAACATTTCATGGTGAAAGAGACAAAGAACCAGGATTGGAGCCAGGAGATATTATCATTGAGTTAGATGAAAAGGACCATGCTGTTTTTACTTGACAAGAAGACTAGTTTATGTCTATGGACAGACAGCTGGTTAAAATGTTGTGTGGTTTCCAAAAACCAATATCCACTCTTGACTACTGAACTATAGTCATCACCTCTCACCCAGGTCACATTGTCAAATATGGAGATATCAAATGTGTGCTAAATGAAGTCATGCCAGTTTTTCATAGACCATATGAAAAGCATCACCTAATCATCAAATTCAAGGTAAACTTTCCTGAGAATGGTTTTCTGTCTCATGATAAGCTCTCTTAGTTGGGTAAACTCCTACCTGACAGGAAGGAAATAGAAGAGATTGATGAAATGGATCAAGTTAGAACTGGTGTATTTTGATTCAAATCAGGAAAAACAGCACTATTACAATGGAGAAACATGTGAGGATGATAAACATCATCCCAGAGGTGGTGTTCACTGCCAAACTTCATAAACGGACCAGTGAGTAACACTCACTCCTGGCATTTGATGAGCAGTAGTGAGTGAATGAAGGATTGTAATCATAATGTGTTCACTACCTGCTATTGTTTTTGTTTTAGTACTCAATTATAATAATGTTTTTAAAATTAAATAATAAGTAAACAAATATAAAAGCTCAAAAAAGCAGAAAATAAATTACAAAATGGTAGTAGTAGGTTCTTACCTATCACTAATTACTTTGAATGTAAATGAATTAAATTGTCCAATAAAAAGACATAGAGTTACTGACTTGATTTAAAAAACAAGACCCAGCTCTATGCTACCCAGATAGACTCAACTCACATTTAAGGCCACACATAGACTGAAAGTGAGGGGATGAAAAATAATATTCTATGCAAATGAAAACCAAAAGAGAGAGACCAAGGTTAGCTATACTTAAAGTAGGCTTTAAATCAAACACAGTAAAAAAAGATAAAGAAGGTTATTACATAATGTTTAAGGATAAATCTATCAGGAAGATATAACAAGTGTAAATACATAATACACCCAACGTTGGAACACCTAAATATGTACGGGAAATCTTAAAGGATCTGAAGGGAGATATCAAATGCAATACAATCAGAGTGAGGATTTCAGTTCCCTACTTTCAACAATGGACAAATCATTCAGACAGAAAATAAATAAGAAAACATTAGCTTTGAAATATCCTTAGACCAAACGGATGTAATAGACATATACAGAACATTCCATTTAACAGAATACATGTTCTTTGAAAGGGAACATGGAACATTCTCCAGGATAGATTACATCTTAGGCTACAAAACAAGTCTGAACAGATTGAAGAAATTGAAAACATATCAAATATTTTTTCTAATCCAAGTGTATGCAATTATAAATCAAAAACAGAAGAAATCTTGGAAAATTCACAAATATGTGGAAATTAAACAATATATTCTTGAATAATCAATGGGTCAAGAAGAAATCAAAAGGGACATTTTTAAAAACTTAAGACAAACAATAATGGAAGCACAACATACCAAAACTTATGGGATACAACAAAAACAGTTCTATATTTAAAAATCTCAAATGAATAACTTAATGTTACACCTCAAATAAAAGAAAAAAGAAGAAAAAATTAAGCCCAAAGTTAGAAGAAATAAGAAAATAAATGTTAGAAAAGAAATAAATCAAATAGAGACTAGAAAAACAATAGAAGAAAATCTATGAAATCAATAAGTTTTTTGAGAAGATAAACATAGTCAATGAAACTTCACCTAGACTAACAAAAAAGAGAGTCAATTCAAATAACTAAAGTCAGAAAAAAGAGAAAAATTACAACTGATAGTATAGCTATATAAGAATCATAAGAGATTACTTTGAATAATTGTATGCCAACCAATAAATAAATTAGAAGAAATGGATAAATTCGTAGATACATACAACTTATTCAGTCTGAATCATGAAGAAATAGAAAATATATAAAAAATAACCATTAAAGGGAGAATCAGTAATAAAGTCTCCCATGAAGTAAATGTTCAGGATCTGATGGCTTTACTTATTTCTACCACTTAAAGGAGAACTAATATAAATCCATCTCAAACTCTTACAAAAATGAGTATTTCCAATTTTTTTTTTATGAGGGTAGAATCATCCTGGTACCAAAGCCAGACAAGGACATTATAAGAAAAACAATTGCAGGCCAATATCCCAAATGAAAATAAATGCAAAAATCCCGAACAAAATGTTAGCAATATCTAATCAACAGTGTATTAAATGAATCATTTAATCATTTAATATGATCAAGTAGAATTTATCACAGGGATGCAAGGATGATTCAACATAATCCAAATTTATAAGAATGATATACCTCATTAATAGAATGAAGGGCAAAAACCATATGATCAATCTCATTAGAGGCAGAAAAAGCTTTTGACAAAATTCAGCATCCTTTCATGATAAAATCTCCCAATGGATTAGCTATAGAAGGAATGTACCTCAACACAATGAAAGCCATGCATGACAAGCCACAGCTAACATTATACTTAATGATGAAAACAATGGCAACTTTCCCTATAAGATCAGAAACAAGACATGAATGTCTAATTTCACCTCTTCACTATAGTGCTGAAAGTGACTATAGCGCTCCTTGCCAGAACAATTAGGTAAGAGAAACAAATAAAATACTTCCAAATGGGAAAAGATTAAGAAAATTGTTCATGTTTGGTGATGACATGATCTTATGTATGAAAACCTAAAGACTCCAAAAAAAACTGTTAGAACTAATAAATGAATATAGTAAAGTTGCAGGATAAAAAAAATCAACATATAAAAGTCAGTAGTGTTTCTATGCACTAACAATGAACAATCTGAAACAGAAATGAAGAAATATATTTCATTTACAGCAGCTACTAAGAATAAAAAGTGCTTAGAAATACATTTAACCAAGGATGTGAAGGATTTGCACACTAAAAATTTCAAAGCTTTGATGAAAGAAATTGATGACACAAGTAAATGTAAAGATATTTTATGTTCACAGGTTGGAAGAATTAATATTGTTAAAATGTCACTATTAGCCAGCTGTGGTGGCTCATGCCTGTAATCCCAGCACTTTGGGAAGCTGACATGGGTGGATCACTTGAGCACAGGAGTTCAAGACCAGGCTTGCCAACATATTAAACCCTGACTCTACTAAAATAACAAAAAATTAGCTGGGTGCGGCACACAGGCCTGTAATCCCAGCTACCTGGGACACTGAGGCACCAGAATTGCTTGAACCTGGGAGGTGGAGGTTGCAGTGAGCCAAGATCATGCCATTGCACTCCAGCCTGGGTGACAAAGTGAGACTCTGTCTCAGTAGATAAATAAATAAACAAACTGTCCCTATTTCTCAAAGTGATCTACATATTGATGAAAATTCTACCGAAATGTAAATTCATTTTTCACAGAAATGGAAAAATAACTAAAATTTATATAAAACCACAAAAAAGTACAAATTTCCAAGACAATCTTGCACCCTGAAACAAACAAAGCTGGAGGCATTACACTATCTGAATTCAAAATATATTACAAAATGATAGTAATTAAAACAGCATGGTACTGGCATAAGAATAGACACATCCATCAACCAATGGAACAGAATAGAGAGCCAAAAAAAAAAAAACCCCATTTATTCACTGTCAATTGATTTTTGATAAAGGTGTCTAAAACACAATATAGAAAAAAGACAGTCTCTTCAATAAAGGATATGGGGAAATTTGGGTATTCACATGCAAAAGAATAAAATTGAACCCTCATCTCATGCCATATACAAAAGCGACTCAAACTGGGTTAAAAATTGATGTAAAAAGTGAAACTGTAAAACTACTAAAAGAGAAAAAGAACAGGGGAAAACTATACAACAATTGTCTGGACAATGTTTTACGTTTGACCATGATAGCTCAGGGAACAAAACCAAAAATAGAGAAATAGGATTATATCACACTTAAAACTTCTGTAGGGTAAAGAAAAAAATTAACAGAATGAAGATGCAGCCTATGAATTGAGAGAAAATATTTGCAAGCCATACATCTAATAAGGAGTTAATATTCAAAATATATATGAAATGCAAACAATTCAATAGAAAGCAAACAAATAACCTGATTTAAAAAATGGGCAAATGAGCAGAGCAGATATTTCTTAAAAGAAGACATTCAAATGGCCGACAGATACATTTAAAAAATGTTCGACATCTCTAATCATTGGGGAAATGCATATTAAAACAATGAGGTATGTCCTTACACTTATCAGGATAGCTATTATCAAAAAGATGAAAGATAACAAGTGTAGGGGAGGGTGTGGAGAAAGAGAACCCTACTAGACTATTGTTGGGAATGTAATTTGGTACAACCATTGGTGAACACTGTATGGAGGCTCCTGAAAAAAGTAAAAATACAATTTCACTAGTATATCTAAAGGATTTGAAATCAATATGTCAAGGAGATACCTGCACTTCCATGTTTATTGTAGCTTTATTTATAATTGTCAAGTTTTGGAATAAACCTTCATCAGTCAATTAATGGACAAAAACGTAGTATATACACAGAATGAAATTCTATTCAGCCTTTACAAAGAGGGAAATTATATCATTTGCAACAACATATATGAGTGTGGAGGACATTATGCTAAGTAAAATAAGCCAGCTATAGAAAGACAAAGGCCACATGTTCTTGTATGTGGAAGCTAAGAAGCTAACACGGAAGAAAGCAGAACTGTGGTTACCAGAAACCAGCGACTGTGGGGGAGGGTAATAGGTGGATATTGATAAAAGAGTACAGTGTTTCATTTAGACAGGAGAAATAAATAATTTTTGAGGTGATGGTTATGTTAATTAGCTCAATTCAATCATTCCATATTGTATACAAATATTATAGCATCACTTTGTACTCCATAAGTGCATACAATTATAATTTGTCAATAGCTAACAAAAATAAATAAACGTTCTTTAAAAAATACTGTCTAAAAAAGGAAGAGATTCTATATTTGTGACACAAGTGTTTAGTGGGTGAAATGTATACTGGTTAGGTGAGAAAACAAACAAACAAAAACACCTGGAAAAAAATAGGATAATAGAAAAAAAAGCCTAGAGAACTGGAGCAGATAGTTTACATTTTGGCCAAGGAAGGCCCAGCTGTATTTCCTGAAGATACAGAACTGATAAATTTCACTGAGTATTTTGAAGATACTAGTTTGGAATGGAAAGTCTAGTCAATGGTACATTCTAAAATGGTAAACCTGGAAAGCAGAAAGGATGTTGAAAAACAAAAAAAAGAAAAATGTTTCTCATAATTAAAAGATAAAGGCACTCATGTCCAACATGAGTAGAAATAAAATAAGGTATTTGAGGCAAGTTTCATCTCTTTGCAATCTTAACATGTGATTTAAAAGCAAAAATCCAGTTTCAATCAATTGAACTGATAAAATGTGAGTTACTGGTCTTATTAAGTTCTACTACAAGGATACAAAAGTAAACTGAAATCGATGTTTGATTTTATAAAATAGCTATGGCAACTAGTTCTGTCTCCTTTAAATGGTTCATTTAACAGAGCAATGCACAATTTATAAGCACTTATATTCCCATATTTATTTACTTGGTTTATAAATATGTTTTCTTTGTCACCAAAGCATTTTTCTCTTTTTAATCTAAATAAGGTAAAATGCTTATTTTAATAATTGACTTTTCCACAAAAGATATTAAATTGATCATAGTATAGTATTCATAAATGTGATCTTATACATAATTGCTCTCTGAAGACAATCTTTTTTATTGCATGCTTAAATGCTATTTATTTCCCAATCAAATCAGAGAAGGTAAGAAAGACATAATGTGTACTTACCAGACTTCTTCAAATATACTATATAATCTTATAAGTTATTTTTACCTTACAGATGAAAGACTTTTATAGGAATATATTTTTCCAAGGCTGCTTAATGGCATTATTTGTTGAAAATGTTGCGGAGAATGACAGAAGTTAACTTCTTGCAAAATCAATATGGCATAAACATTAATCAGGAATAATCACTTAAGACTACAGAAAATGTCCATTACTTTTTGCCTGGTGAGGAGGGTATGTTCGAGATAAAGATTTGGGTACTTATTGTAATGATATCTTGGAGGACTAGTAAGTATGTTGAAGGAGATATTTTAAACAACCAACCACAATAATGTAGTCTAGTTAAAGAAAAAAATAAAATACACAACAAAAGAAACAATTAACAGAGTGAAGAGACAAACTACAGATTCAGGAAACATTTCTGAAAGCCATGCATCAGATAAGGGGTTAATATACAAAATATATAAGTAACTCAAAACACTCTATAGAAAGAAAACAACATTATTTAAAACTGGACAAGGGACCTGAATAGGTATTTTTCAAAAGAAAACATACAAGAGGTCAATGGATAAATTAAAAAATGCTCAACATCACTAATCATTAGAGAAATGCCCATTAAAACCATAAGCTCTTATCTAGTACCTGTCAGAATGCATATTTTGAAAAAGATGAAAGATAACAGTGTTGGCCAGGATGTGGGCAAATGGGAAATTGATTACTCAGTTGATAGGAATACAAATTAGTACAGCCATTATGGAAAATTGTATAGAGTTCCTCAAAAAACTAAAAATAGAGGAGAGGGATGGATCAAGATGGCAGAAGAGAAACCTCTCCTGTCATCTCAACCACAAGGATATCAATTTAACAACTATCTACACTAAAAAACAAACAAACACAAACGAACAGAAACCTTTATAAGATCAAAAAGTCAGATGAGCAATCGTAGTTGGTTTTAACTTCATATCACTGAAAGAGGTACTGAAGAGGTAGAGAAAACAGTCTCAAATTACAGACACCACTCTTCCCTCATTCTCTGGCAGCAGCAGTGTGGTGTGGAGTGTTTCTGTGCAATAGAGAGAGGGAGAGTGCAGCAATTTTGAGGCATTGAACACAGTGCTATCCTGTTATAGAAGAAAGCAAAACTGGATCAAACTCAGCTGGCATCCACCCATGGAGGGAGCATTTAAGCATTTAAACAAGCCCTAGACAGAGGAAAATTGCCAATTCCAGCAGGCAGAATTTGACTTCCTGAAAGCCTTGCCATTGTGGGCTAAAGCTCTCCTCCGGGGCTCTGATAAACTTGAAAGGCAGCTTAGACAACAAGGATTACAACTTTTAGGTGAGTCCTAGGGTTGAACTGGGCCTAGAACCAGAGGACTGAGAGGGCACACAAACTACTAAGACAGCCAGGGAAGGTAAGGCAGTGCTGACATCATCCCTCCTTTAACCCCAGGCTGCACAGCTCACAGCTCCAAAAGAGACTCCTTCCTACTACTTGAGCAGAGCAGCGGGAAGAGTGGGGGGACTGTCTTGCACTTTGGATACCAACTCAGCCACAGCAGGATAGGCACTGGTCAAGAGTTGTGAGGCTGTCATTTCAGGTCCTAGTTCCTGTGCAACTTTTCCAGACACTCTGGGCCAGAAGGGAACCCAGTGTCTTGAAGGGAAGGATCCAGTCCTGGTAGGATTTATCACCTGCAAACTGAAGAGCCCTTGGGCTCTGAATAACCAACAATATACCCAGGTACTACATTGAGGGTCAGAGACTTGCTGGTTTCAGGTGAGACTGAGCACATTCCCAGCTGTTGTGGCTTTGATGTGAGACTCCATCTTGAGAAAAGCAGAGGGAATAGTGAAAGAGACTTTGTCTTGCACCTTAGGTACTAGCCTGGCCACAAGTGGGTAGACACCAAGTGGGCTCTTGGGGTCTCTGATTCCAGGACTTGGTATTGAATGGCATTTCTGAATCTGCACTGGGCCAGAGTGTAGTCCACTGCCCTGAAGGGAGTGTCCCAGCCACCAGCATTTACCACAAGCTGACTGAAGAGCCCTTGGCCCTGAAGGAAACATTGATGGTAGTCTTACAGTGGAATTGTGGTGGCATAGGCCATGAGGCGAGGCTCCTCTGTTATTAGAAAAGGGAGAGAAAACTGGGAAATGCTCTATCTTGTAGTTTGCCTACAAGCTCAGCTGCAGTAAAATAGAATGCCAGGTAAATGTTTAAGGTTTTTGACTCTAGTCCCTAACTACTGGATGACACCTCTAAACCTGCCTAGGTCCTGCAGGACCTCACAGCCCTAAAGGGAAGGAAACAGGCACAGTTGGCTTTGCCACCTGCTGACTGTAGAGCCTCATGGCCTTGAGTGAACATAGGCAGTAGCCAGGAAGTAGTTACAGCAAACCTTAGACAAGACCCAGTCCTATTGGTAATGGCCACAGGGGTGCTCGTGTCATTCCACCCCCCAGGTGGGTCAGAACAGAGGGAGAGGGAGAGACTCCATTTGTTTGAGAGAAACTAAGGGAAGAAAACAAGAATCTCTGCCTGGTAATCCAGAGAATTCTCCTGGGTCTAGTCCAAGACCATCAAGGTAGGACCTCAGCGCATCTACAAGAATCACAGTGTTACTGGGTTTTGGATGCACCATAAAACAGATACATCTTAAATCACAAAACTCAAGTCATTTCAAATATCTGGAAAGCTTTCCCAAGATGGACAGATACAAACAAGCCCAGGCTGTGAAGACTATAATAAACACCTAACTCTTCAATGCCCAGCCACAGATGAACATCTATAAGTATCAAGACCATCCGGGAAAACATGACCTCACCAAATAAACTAAATACAGCACCAGCGACCAATCCTGGAGAAACAGAATTATGTGACCTATTGTATAGGTAATTCAAGATACTTGTGTTGAGGAAACTTAAAGAAATTCAAGACAACAAAGAAGGAATTCAGGATTCTACCAGATTAAGGAGGAGATTGAAATAATTAACAGGAAACAAGCAGAAATTCGGGAGCTAAAAAATGCAACTGGCATACTGAAGAATGCATTAGAGTCCTTTAATAGTAGAAATGATAAAGCAGTAGAAAGAATTAATGAGCTTGAAGACAGGTTATTTGAAAATACACAAAGGAGTTCAAAGGAAAAATAATAAAAAGCAATGAAACATGCCTATAAGATCTAGAAAATAGCCTCAAAAGGCAAATCTAAGAGTTATTGGCCTTAAAGAGGAGACAGAGAAAGAGATACAGGTACAAAGTTTATTCCAATATATAATAACAGAGAACTTCCCAAACCTAGAGAAAGATATCAATATCCTAGGACAAGAAGGTTATAGAACACCAAACAGATTTCACCCAAGGAAGACTAACTGAAAGTATTTAATAATCAAACTCCCAAAGATAAAGGATAAAGAGAAGATTCTAAAAGCAGAAAGAGAAAATAAACAAATAACATACAACGAGGATCCAATATGTCTGGCAACAGATTTTCAGTGGAAACCTTACAGGCCAGAAGAGAGAGAGTGGCATGACATATTTAAACTGCTGAAGGACAAAAGAAGCTTTTACCCTAGAATTGTATATCTGGTGAAAATATTTTTAAAACATGAAGGAGAAATAAAAACTTTCCCACACAAACAAAACCTGAGGGATTTCATCAACACCAGACCTGTCCTGTAAAAAATGTTACAGGGATTACTTTAATCATAAAGAAAAGGACATTAATGAACAATAAGTAGTTACCTGAAGGAACAAAACTCACTGGTAATAGCAAGTACACACACACAAAAAAACACAGAAATTGTAAAACTGTAACTGTGGTGTGTAAACTACTCTTATCCTAAGTAGAAAGACCAAATGATGAACCAATCAAGAATAATAACTATAACAACTTGTCAAGACACAACTGTAAAATAAGATATGAATAGAAATAACAATAATTTAAAAGCAGGGTGAAGTTAAGGCATACAGTTTTTATTAGTTTTATTTGTTTGTTTCTTTATGCAAATAGTGTTAAATTGTTATCTGGTGAAAATAATGGTTGTAAGACAGTATTTACAAGCCTCGACATAACCTGAAACCAAAAAACATACAATGAATACACAAAAAATGAGAAGCAAGAAAGAAAATCATATCACCAGAGAAAATTACCTCTATTAAAAAAAGACAGGAAGGAAAGAAAGAAAGAAAGTCACATGTCAACCGGAAAACAAATAACAAAATGGCAGGAGTAAGTTCTTACATATAAATAATAACATTGAATGTAAGTGGACTAAACTTTCCAATCAGAAGATATCAACTAGCTGAGTGAATGAAAAAAAAACAAGACCCATTGATCTATTGCCTACAGTAAATACACTTTACATAAAAAGACACAAGTAGACTAAAAGTAAAGGGATGGAAAAAGATATTCCATGCCAATAGAAACTAAAAAAGGACAGAAGTAGCTATTCTTATGTCAGACATAGTAGATTTCAAGACAAAAACTGTAAGAAGAGAGAAAGGTCACTATATAATGATAATAGCATCAATAGAGCAAAAATATATAACAATTTTTAATACATATGCACCCAACATGAGAGCACATAGATATATAAAGCAAATATTACTAGAACTAAAGAGAGAGATAGGCCCCAGTACAATAATAGTTGGAGACTTCAACACCCCACACTCAGCATTGGATAGATCTTCCAAACAGAACATCAGAAAAAGAGAAAAAAAAAACAAAACAAAACATGAGACTTAAACTGCATTAGAGACCAAATGGATCTAATAGATATTTACAGAACATATCATCCAACAGCTGCACAATATGCATTCTTTTCCTCAGCACATGGCTCATTCTCAAGGACAGATCATATGTTAGGTCACAAAAGAAGTCTTAAAACACACAAAAAATTGAAATAATATCAGGCATTTTCTCTAACCACCATGGAATAAAACTAGCAATTAATAACAATAGGAGTTTTGGAAACTATACGAATACATAGAAATTAGAGAATATGCTCCTGAATGACCAGTGGGTCAATGAAGAAATTAAGAAGGAAACTAAAAAATTTCTTGAAATAAATGACAATGGAAACAAAACATACCAAAACCTATGGGATACAGCAAAAGCACTACTCAGAGGGAAGCTTGTAGCTTTAAGTGCCTATAACAAATAAGAGAAAAAACTTCAAAAAACACCTAATTCTAAACCTTAAACAACTATAAAAGCAAGAGCAAACCAAACCCAAAATTAGAAGAAAATAAATAATAAAGATCAGAGCGGAAATAAATGAAACTGAAATAAAAAACAACAAAAATCAATGAAACAAAAAGTTGTTTTTTTAAAAATTAAACAAAATTGACAAACTTTAGCCAGACAAAGAAAAAATGAGAAAAGGTCCAAATAAATAAAATCAGAAATGAAAATGGAGACGTTACAACTGCTATCCCAGAAATTCAAAGGATTATTTGTGGCCTCTATGAGCAACGTAAGTCCACAAAGTGAAAAATCTAGAAGAAATGGTAAAATTCCTAGACACATACAACGTACAAAGACTGAACCATAAAAAAAAATCCAAAAGGTGAACACACCAATAACAAGTAACAATATCAAAACGTAATAAAAATTCTCCCAGTAAACAAAATCCCAGGACTTAGTTTCAATGCTGAATTCTATGAAACGTTTAAAGAAAAACTAATACAAATCCTACTTAAACTATTCCAAAATATAGAGGAGGACAGAACATTTTCAAACTCATTCTATGAGGCCAGTATTACCGTGATACCAAAACCAGACAAACACACATTAAAAAAAGAAAACTATGGGCCAATATCTCTGGTGAATATTGATGCAAAAGTCCTCAAGAAAACACTAGCAAACCAATTCATCAATACATTAGAAAGATCATTCATCATGAACAAGGGGGATTATTTCTGTAATGCAAAGATGACTCAAGATACTCAAATTAATCAGTGTGATACATTGTATCAAGTGAATGAAGGATAAAAATCATATGATCCTTTCATTGATGATTAAAGGAATTTGATAAAATTCAACTTCCTTTCATGATAAAATACCCTAAATAAAAAACTGAAGATAGAAGGAACATACCTCAACATAAAAGCAATATATGACAGGCCCACAGCTAGTATCATACTAAATGGGGAAAAACTGAAAGTCTTTCCTCTAAGATCTGGGACATGACAAGAATGCACATTTTCACCATTCTTATTCAATATAGTATTGGTTGTCCTAGCTAAAGCAATCAGATAAAAGAAATAAAGGGCATCCAAACTGCAATGGACAAAGTCAAATTATCCTTATTTGCAGATGATATGATCTTATATTTGAAAAAATCTAAAGATGCCACAAAAAAGCATTAGAATTGAAAAACTCGCCAAAGTTGCCAGATGCAAAATCAACATACAAAAATAAGTAGCATTTCTATATGCCAACAGTGAACAATCTGAAAAAGAAATAAAAAAGGAATCCCATTTACAATAGCCACATATAAAGTTAAATACCTAGCAATGAACTTAACCAAAGAAGTGAAAAATCTCTATAATGCAAAGTATGAAACACTGAAGAAAGAAATTGAAGAGGATAGCAAAAAATGAAAATGTATTCCATGTTCATAGATTGGAAGAATGAATATTGTTAAAATGTCCATACTACGCAAAGCAATCAACAAATTCAATACAATCTCTATCAAAATATCAAGGACATTCTTCAAAGTAGAAAAAGCAATGCCAAAATTTATTTGAACCCATGAAAGACTCAGAATAATCTGAGTAAAAGCAATCAATGCTGAGCAAAAAGAACAAAACTGGAGGAATTATATTACCTGAAGTCAGATTATGCTACAGAGTTATAGTCATCAACACAGTATGGCACTGTCATGAAAACAGACACATAGACCAATGGAACATAATAAACAACTCAGAAAAAAATCCATACACCCTACAGTCAACTCATTTTTGACCAAGGTGTCAAGAACATAAACTAGGGAAAAGTCAGTCTCTTCAATAAATAATGCTATAAAAACTGGATATTCATATGTAGAAGAATGAAACTAGAACCCTCCCCCTCACTATATACAAAAATCAAATCAAAATGAATTACAGCCTTAAGTCTAAGACTTCAAATGATGAAACTACTACAAGAAAACCCTGGGGAGAAAATCCAGGACATTGGTCTTGGCAAACTTTTCTTTCTTTCTTTCTTTTTTTTTCCAGGTATCATTATAATAAGGGTGGAAAAAGTTTCTTGAATAGTGCCTCATGAGCATAGGCAACCAAAGCATAAATGGACAAATGGGATCATATCAAGTTAAAAAGCTCTGCACAGCAAAGGATACACTCAACAAAGTGAAGAGACAACTCACAAAATGGGAGAAAATATTTGCAAACTAGTCATCTGACAAGGGATTAACAACCAGAATATATAAGGAGCTCAAACAACTCTATAGAAAAAAATCTAATAATCCAATACAAAATTGGCAAAACATTTGAATAGACATTTCTCAAAAGAAGACATAAAAATATCATACTGGCATATGAAAAGGTACTCATCATTGATTATCAGAGAAATGCAAATCAAAACTATAATGAGATATCATCTCACCTCAGTTAAAATGACTTGTCCAAAAGACAGACAATAACAAATGTTGGTGAGGATGTGGAGAAAAGGGAACTCTTGTACACTTTCAGTGAGAATATAAATTATTACATCTACTATGGAAAACAATTTGGAGATTCCTAAAAAAACTAAAACTATATCTACTATATAATCCAGCAATCCCACTGCTGGGTATGAACAACTTTTGAATATATTTAATAAACATATTGAAAGTTGCTCACACAAGTTCTAAAGAACTAAAACTATTTCTTTGAGGAATCTCCAAATTCATAATAGTGTTGAATCAGAAACCACCCAGATGTTCCTTAGGATAAATGAACTGTGGAATATATACCAAATGAAATATTGCACAAGATTAAATTGCCATTACTTTTAATGGCAAAAACTACAATTACTTTTGCACCAAACTAATATTTTATATATACTTACAATGCATATACCCAAAAGAAAGGAATTCAGTATATCAAAAAGATATCTGCATTCCCATGTTTATTGCAGCACTATTTACATGAGCTGGGATTTGGAAGCAATCTAAGTGTCTAACAACAGATACATAGACACAATGGTACATATATAAAATGGAATACTATTCAGCCACAAAAAGAGTGAGATCCTGTCATTTGCAACAACATAAATGGAACTGGTGACCATTATGTTAAGTGAGATAAGCCAGGCACAGAAAGACAAACATGCCATGTTCTCACTTATTTGTGGGATCTAATAACCAAAACAATTGGGTCAGGTGCAGTGGCTCACGTCTGTAATCCCAGCACTTTGGGAGGCCAAGGCAGAAAATCACCTGAGGTCAGGAGTTCAAGATCAGCCTGGCCAACATACTGAAACCCTGTCTCTACTAAAAATACAAAAATTAGCTGGGCATGGTGGCGTGCACCCGTAATCCCAGCTTCCAGTGAGTCTGAGGCAGAAGAATTGCTTGAACCCAGAAGGCGGAGATTGCAGCGACCCAAGATTGCTCCACTGCACTCCAGCCTGGGCGAGAGTGAGAATCTATCTAAAAAAAAAAAAAAAAAAAAAAAAAACCAAAGGCACTTTTGGAGATTTGAGAATAGAAAAATGATTACCAGAGGCTGGGAAGGGTAGTGAGGGTTTCAGGGGGTGGGATGTGGGGAAAGTTAATGGGTACAAAAAATAAAAGGAATGAATATGACCTACTATTTGATAGTAAAACAGGGTGACTATAGTCAATGATAATCGTACATTTTAAAATCATTATAGGAATGTAATTGGATAGCTTGTAATACAAAGGATAAAGTCTTGAGCAGATGGATATCCCATTCTCCATGACGTGATTATTTCACATTTCATGCTTGTATCAAAACATCTCATGTATCCCATAAATATATATACCTACTATGAACCCACGAAGATTAAAAATTTAAAAAATTACAAAAACATTAAAAGGCAACCCAGAGAGTTGGAGAAGACATTCGTGCCATAAATAATCAACAAAGGACTCATATCGAATTACATAAAAGACTTAAAATCAATTTTAAAAAACAATAGGCAACCAAACACAAAAATGAACAAAAGCCTTGAGCAAATATTTTTTACAGAAATTATATCCAAATATTTAATAAACATACTGAAAGTTGTTCAGCTTCATCAGCCATTAGAGAAATGAAAGTTGAAACCCCAAATAACATGAGTACTCAGGCTCTGGAATGGCTAAAATTGTAATAATGGAAAGTAATAATTATTGGCAAGGATACAGAATAACTTAAACTCTCAAGCCCTGCCTATTTGGCAGCTTCCACTAAAATTTAACATAAGTATAACCTACGGCCCAGAAATTCCACTGCACCCACCAGAAATACACGAGTTCTCCAAAAGACATGTACTAAAATGTTCATAGCAGCACTATTCATAATAGTGCTGAATCAGAAACCACCCAGATGTTCATTAGTGTAAATGAACTGTGGCATATATGCCAAATAAAATATTACACAACAAGATTAAATGAACTATAAATCTCTTTAACATTACAGGTGAATTTTAAAACAATATTGGGAGAAATATTTAGACACACTATATGATTCAATAATTGCATACATAGCTACATATATATATCACAACAAAACCATTAATGTTTCACAACAAAACCAATCCATTAGCTAACTAATCCATGATACCACAAATTAGGATAGTGGTAACTTTTGGGAGGTATATACTTACTAGGGGCTGGTATTATTTGGTATTTTTGTTTTTAAAAAATAATTTGAGCTCTGGCTATGTAGGTGTGTTCAGGTTTTGGAAATTTGTTGAGCTGTACACTTGTGATATTTGTACTGCTATGCATGTATATCACAATTCAATGAGCAGAAAATGTCATTTATAAAATGAGTGTATTAAGAAATTTTACTTTTATTCATTGAAGCATAGCGTATCACTATTGTAAGGGTGGTATATACATCTTTAAAAACGTACTTTCTATTGCATTCTGGGAAACCAGTACCATATTATGGCCAGGTATCATAAGTAGCAGTTTCAGGTTTTCTGATGTTAATCACAACTCTGGTGAAATATTTAAACTGCAATATACAGAACAGCAGCTTCAGGCAAAGCATGGAGGCTCCAGCCTGTAATCCCAGCACTTTGAGAGGCTGAGGTGGGACAATCGCTTGATTATCCAGGAAGTCCAGGCTGCAGTGAGCCATGTTTGCCTCACTGCACTCCAGTCCAGGTGACAGAGTGTGACCATGTTTCAAAAAACAAACAACAAACCAAAAATAGGAGCTTCAAACAAACGAATTATGATATTTTGGCCTATGTTAACCTATGCTTAATATTTGAAGTTTAATGTTAAATAAACTTTTGCTTAATAAGAATAAATCCAAAACTAGAATTTCAGGCTCAATCAATCATTTGAGAATTTCTTTCATTGAATTTAGAAATGGAAATTGCAGAAATAATAAAAATTACCTGCCGAGAATGAGAGGAAAAAACCTCAAAAGGAACCTCAGGAAGCTAACACATTTCTCTGCATTCATCAGGTGCCCAAACCAAATGCTAACTAAGCTTAATGTACATGCTCAGCCCTACCACAGATTCTGGAATCAAATAGCTAAGGAAACTTTTTAAAAAGTTCTATCAAAGAATTAAGTAGTTTCGTAAGTCCTGTAGGACTCGATTTCTATAAACTACTGTTATTTTTTAAATAACCAGCTCTTTTTTGTACATAACCTGTTTTTATAACCAGCTCTCGCTTCTTCATTGTTAATCAGTTTTTGTCTAACCACCCAATTCTCATTACTGGGTTTCTGTTTTGAGTGATCTCTCCAAGAGTATTCTGTTTGGTGTCCTCTTTCACTTCCAAGCACTGTCTGGACAAAAATCTGTGTTCCTTTCCTGTTTTTCTAATGGACCTCAGTCTATCAATTCTCACTATATTTGCTTGGTGCTGATAGCCTATGTTTCTCTGAACAATGGTCTGTTGTTCATCCTAAGATTTTCTGAAACCATGCTCTGCCTGCAAACCAGGGTACTCACTTGTCACTCACTCCTCACCAGGCCTTCGTGTCCCTACCTGGACTTCCACCAATGCTAATGGCTTTCCAACCACCTCACCTCACCTGGGAAGATACTCTCAGTCTGACATTTGTTATGCATCTGTCTATCCAGAATTCCTCATACTGCCAATTTCCAAAAAGCATTCAAACTCCAGTGGATCTGTTCCATCTCTGTGTCCCAACCATCTCAATCTGGCCCATATGACAACTCTAGTGAGAAGAAGGCAGAAATTTTAAAAAGAATGTATCTTTTTTGGTCTCGGTCATGCTCAGGATGCTACAAGATGAGAAACAACCTGGAATTTCCCATCCTTGACAATGTTTACCAAATCTTGCCCACTTGGACATTGAGACGGAGCTAAGAGAGAGGAAAAGCTGAGAAAAGATACAACTCTGTAGGTGTAAATCTAATAATTTGATTAAAAATAGGCAAAATATCTGAATATATACTTTTCAAAAGAAGACATACAAATGGGACATACGCATATGAAAAGGTGCTGAACATCACTGATAATCAGAGAAACACAAATCAAAACTATAATGAGATATCGTCTCACCCCATTTAAAATGGTTTTTATCCAAAAGACAGACAATACCAAATGCTGGTGAGGAGTGGAGAAAAGGGAACCCTTGCACATTGTTGGTAGGAAGGTAAATTAGTACAACCACTATAGAGAGCAGTTTGGAGGTTTCTCAAAAAAACTAAAAATTGAGTTACCATATGATCCAGCAATCTCACTGCTGGGCATATACCCAAAAGAAAGAAAATCAGTATATTGAATAGATGGCTATACTCCCATGTTTATTGCAACACTATTCAAAATAACCAAGTTATGGAAGCAACCTAAGTGTCCATCAACAGGTGGATGGATTAAAAAAATTGTACATATACATAATGGATTGGAGTACTCTTCAGCCATAAAAATGAATACAATCCTGTCATTCACAGCAACATGGATGGAACTGGAGGTCATGATGCTAAGTGAAATAAGCCAGGCACAGGAAGACGAACAGGCCTATTCTCACTTATTTGTGGGATCTAAAAACCAAAGGAATTGAACTTATGGAGAAAGAGAGTAGAAAGAAAGATGGCTGGAAAGAGTCATGGAGTGTTGTAGAGGTGGGAAGTGGGGAAGGTTAATGGGTACAAAAAATAGAAAGAATGACTAAGATTTACTATTTGATTGCAAAACAGGGTGACTCTAGTCAATAATAACTTAATTGTACATTTTAGAATAACTAAAATAATTTAATTGAATATTTTGAAACACAGAGGGTCAATATTTGAAGAGATGGGTAACCCTTTTCTACTATGTGATTATTATTCTTTGCATGCCTGTATCAAAACATCTTATGTGCCTCATAAATATATGCCTCTATAATATACCCACAAAAATAAAAATAGATAAATAAACAAAAAGCTTCAAAGAAAAGTGCTCTTGAAATAAAGTAGGTTCAAAAAAAATTAAAATTGAAATTAAAAAAAACTAAATAGAATTATATGATTCAGGAATCCCACTCCTGAGTATTTACCCAAAAGACATGAAATCAGTATGCCAAAGAGATGTCTGCACTTCCACGTTCATTGCAGTACTATTCACAACAACCAAGTTATCAAATCAACCTTGTGTCTATCCAACAATGAATGGATAAAGAAAATGTGTTGCCATGGATGTGAAGAAAAGGAAACGCCTGTAAATTCTATGCAAATTCTCATACAGTTGGTGAGAATTTTAATTAACACAACCTCTATGGAAAAGAATATGAAGATTTCTCAAAAAACTAAAAATATAACTACCATTCCACCCAGCAAACCCACCACACTACCCCTCCCCCTCCCCTCTTTTCCCCTCCCCCTACTTTATCCTCCCTCTCCTTTCCCCTCCCCCTCATTTCCCCTCCCCTCCCCCACCTTCTCCCCTCCTCTCTTCTCCCCTCTCTCCCCCCCCACTTCTCCTCCCCTTGCCCCTCCCCTCCGCTCCTCTCACCTCCCCTCCCCTTTCCTTCCCTTCCCTTGGAAAAGAAATCATTGTGTAAAATAACAACTGCACTAGTATGTTTCTCAAAGCACTGTTCACAACAGCAAAGTCATGAAATCAATGTAAGTGTTCATCAACAGTTGACTGGTTGAGAAAATGTGGTATATATGTACCATGAAATACTATGCAGCCATAAAAAGAGAATGAGATCACACCCTTTGTAGCAACATGGGAGGAGCTGGAGCCATTATCCTAAGTGAAATCACTCAAAATCAGATAATCAAATACCACACATTCTCACATAAGTGGGAGCTAAATTACATGTGGACATAAAGATGGAAATAATGGACACTGGGGAACTGAAAAAGGGGAAGCATAGGAGGGGAGTCAGGGTTTAAAAATCACTATTGGGTACAATGTTTACTATTGGGGGTGGGTCCACTAGAAGCCCAAACCATACTGCAAAACCATTCTATGTATATGCATTGTATACATGTAACAAGCCTGCATATGTACCCCCTAAATCTAAACTAATTTTGAGAAAGAAAAATTTGCTTTCATTAAAAGAAGGTTTCTAAAAAGAAAATGTGGTATATATATACACAATGAAGTATTATTCAGCCTTAAAAAATAAAAAAAAATTTACGAATTTATTGTTATTTGCAGCAACATGGATAAACCTGGAGGACATTATATGAAGGTAAAAGAAGCCAGTCACAGAAAGACAAATAGTGCATGTTCTCACTCACATGTAGACTCTAGAACAATCAAATACATCAAAAAAGCAGAAAGTAGAATGGTGATTTACAGAGGCTGGGGATTGGGGTTAATGGGGAGATGGTGGTTCAAAGGTACAAAGCATCAAAGGAGAGGAATAACAATTTTTTTTAAAATCCATTGCACAGTATGGTGAATATAGTTAATAATCACATCTTGTACATTTCAAAATCATTGAGAACAAATTTCAAATGTTCTAATTACAACAATGATAAGCATTTGAAATGATGGCTATATTAATTAGCTTGACTTAATTATTCCAGATTACATTTATAAATCATAACATCACTTTGTACCCTTGAAATCTATACAACTATGATCTGTCAATTTATAATAAAATAGATAAATTAATTTTTTAAAAGAGATGAAGTTTGAATACTCACCAAATTGTTATCTATTCAGATTAGGATGTTGTATAGAAAAATATAAAAGTCACATTTCTAGGGAAAATGGTGATATATGCACAGATTTACAATTTACCTCTACAAATCAGCTTGAAATAGAAACAAATAAAAATACAAGTGGTATACAGTAGCAACATTGAAATCAGGCATTGGTTCTAGCCTCTATACTATAAAATGTGGGAAACATTAATTTAATATATACTAGATTCTTCACTCAGCAACTGAGATGTATTAAGTACTTCTCATATTCCCTGGTAATTAGGAATCAAGAAATACCAAGAAATGAAGAAAATAAACATAGACTATATGCAAAACCATTGTGTCAAAGATAGATTTAAAAACTCTGAGAATCAGAGTATAATTTTAATAAGAGCGATTGAAGAAAAATATCTTAAAGAGCAGAGGAAAAGACAGATATGAAAGATTTAGAGAAGAGCTGATAGAATGGAAAGGCAAAGCATATTAATACATGGATAGTTGATATGACTGAAGAAGAAAATTGAAATAATGAAATAGAAAAGTACATTGGATAGAAAATACAGATAGTATTTATAAATAAATAGATTGAAATAGTTCACAGTAATCCAGAAAAAAAAATACGATAGTGAGACTTACATTGTTGAATTTACCAAATTTAAAAATCAAAGAAAGAATCTTAGGAAATATGGATAGAAGAAGCTGGAGAAATAAGAAGGATACTTGCATTCATTTATTAATCAACATTAAATGACAGAAAACAATGGAGTAGGACTTTTGCTTCTAGTGTGGCTAACACTCCCTCTTTTATAACTTTTAGCTTAAGTGCAGACACTGCACAGAAAGGCTAAAACACTGGTAGAAAATTCAGTTTATCTAAGAGGAGAGCCGGAAAGTAAAAGAGGAATATTGCAAAGGAGAGAGCTAAAAGGGGGCTGCCCCAAATGATATGCATAAACTCTGCTCAAGTACCTGACGGAAAATGAACAAAGCATATATGCAAAGCATTCACAAACTAGCCCAACTGTCACTCAACTTTTGAGCTGTCACCCAAAAATCAGTGTTTGCAATTTGAGTTAAATGAAGTTAATTGCCTTTTAAAACCACTGAAAACTCCGAAGGAACATTACCAGACATAAGTCTCCACAAAAAAAGGAAACAGACAAACAAAACATTCATAAGGCGCAGGATACAATCCAAAATTATACATATAATGGTACAGAAAAATTTAATAAGACTAGAGAGAAAAGACGAATGCCAAAATGAACTAGATGTTGGAATTGGCACACAAAAACTTTAAAGCAGCCATTTAGTAATAGGAAATATGCTTGCAATTAATGAAAAAGTAAGAATTTTCAAGTTATGAGTAGAAATATGTAATAAAAATTCTACAGCTTAAAATATAATATCTAAAATTTAAAATTCACTGGATAGGTTTAATACCAGAATACAGTAGAAGAGAAAACAATCAGTGACCTTGAATATTGATCCAATATGAATAAAACAGAAACAAAATTTATAAAGAGTGAACAGTGCCTCAGGGACTTGTGTCATCAATATCAAACCACATAGTGTAGATGTAATCAGAGTCCCAGTAGAAGAGAAGTAACCAGGTTGAAAATATATTTGAAGATAATTTCACAAGTATAGCAAAAGACAAATTTAAAGATTCAGAAAGCTTGAAGAACTCTAAGCAAATAATTATTAGAACTTAAATAGACAACATTTATTTGCAAAATACCAGAACTGACACAAGATCACACAGAAAATTTGAATACTTCTATATCCTATTGAAGAAATAGAATTTTTATGAAGAAAAAACATTTCCACAAATAAAACTCCAAGTACAAATATTCTCATTGGTGAGTTCTATTAAATATTTAATAAAGGAAAAATGACATAACTCAAACTGCATTAGAAGATAGAATCTAGCCTAAACCTATAACCAAAACCTGATATATTATCCACAAGAGAATTATACACCAATATACCTCATGACAATAGTTGTAAAAATTTTTAGCCAAATATTAAGAAATCAAAATGAGCAACATACATGGATACATGATCAAGTAAAATGTATCCAAAGTAAGTTTATGTGATAACATTGATAAATCAATTAATGTAACATACATTATTTAAAGATTAAATAATAAAAATAAAATAAAATAAAATAATAAATAAAATCTCATTTTTAATAAATAAATAAATAAATAAAATAATGAATAAATAAATAAAATAATAAATAAATAAAAATAAATACATTAAAAAATAATAAATAAATAAATAAATAAAACAAAAATCTAATTCAAGAAGACCAAAGATGAAAGCATATAGTAATACTCATAACTAGCTGCATCTTCAAAGTATGGAAAATGAAGAAAACCTTGCACACAAGAATACAGAGTATATAATTCCATTTTTTACGGAATCTAAAAATACAGAATTAATATATATTGATACAAAAAAAGCAGTTGTTAATTATTAACTTAGGGAACTAGGATGTGAATTTACTTGGGAGAGGTATTAGGGAACTCTTTGTGATGGTAATAGTAATCTGTCTCTATAGAGGAGGTCGGGTTACACAGATAAATCCATTTGCCAAAATGTTGCAAATATGGATTTAAGATTTATACATTTCATTGAATGTAATTTATTGATTTAAAAGTTATAAACACATTAGAGTCCAGTTAGTTATATAAATGTGAAGTATTTGGAGGGAGAAATGTACTATTACATTCAATTTATTTCAAAAGCATCCCAAAATAAAATGGATGAATGAATAGATACACAGATGTATAGATGGATGCATGTGTGATCACGCACAGATGGTAAAGTGCTAATGGTAGAAGCTAAGTGGTTAGTTTTGGGGTGTTCATTGTAAAATTCTTTTGACTTGGCTCTACATATGGACATTTTTATAATAAAAAAACTGAAGGAAAAAGAAGACAATGGAACAATTTCTATAATGTTTTGAGGGTAGTGGGTGACTCCAGGATTGTATACTAAGATAAATTTATTATAACATGTATAGGAAGTAGATACAAATGCTCAAATATTAAAGAGTCCAAAAACTCTATTGCATATGTGTTTGTCCTAAAAAATCAACTCAAAGACATAATTCAACCACAGAAAGAAGGAAGTTGTGTAGATATCATATTTTTTACATTTTAATTGTAAAATAACATATACATACTACAATTTTTGAAAAGCATAAACCAATGTAAATAAAAGAGCAATACTAAGAGAGTGAAACAAAAAGCTCATTGTCTATTGTGAAGAAATCAGAGGTGGCACAGACAGAGAAAGTAGGAAGAAATACAAATTAAGTTTTTAAATAGTTCGTAAGGGAGGCAACATTTCAGAAGTTGCTAAATAAAAAGTGTAAGTTTACACCCAAATATGTAAGGCTTTAAAAGTAATCATGAGATTAACAGAAGTGAACTATACAACTTTCAAATTTCCATGTTGGGACATGGGGAGCACGGAGCTACTTTCAATAAAACATGGAAAATGTAGTAAAAGGTTGAAATAGAAAGAAAGAGCTAGTAAGAATAAAAACAGAAACTGTAAATTACAATGAAAATAGTTCAAATTTTGTTATAAAAATAAGCACAGGTATATTCAATTCATGTATTAAAAGCAAGGAGTTTAATATGATTAATAAACAAACTCACATAATGTTCTAAGTAAGAGAAAAAAAGATTCAGAAAAATAAAAATATTTGCAGAAATACTGGAAAAATGAAAACCAAGAGCAAAACAAAACAGAGCAAGAGAGATAGAAAGGTTAACATTAGATATAGTTAAACACAAGATAGACTATATTAAGTAGACCAGCAAATGATTAACATGGTTTGGTATATTTGTTAAATATATAATTCCCATAAACATATCACTTACATTTATTTCTATAATAGAACTTAAGTAGCCTATATTAGAACTTGGACATTATTCTAGGAACTTTACAGCAATTGGATACAAATAAAAAACCCATGAGGTAATTATAATTATTTTACAGGTGAGGAAACTGTAGTTTAAGTAACACAATAGGTAAGTCTGAGTCCTGTTTTCTGCTCTTAAACACTATGCTAAACTCTCTTGGAACTTTATGTGCTAAATAATATCTTTTCATGATATATGAAACAAAACTACGAGACGATGAAGGAGATATCGAAATAGAATTGTTATGTAAGGAAGACTTTGATACATTTCCTAAGTTTTTAAAAATAGGGTAGATAAACATAAGTAAGGAAGAAGAAAATCTGGATATTATAATGAATGTATGCAACCTAGGAGATATTTATATATGTTACACAATGAAAATAAAAAATGTGCTTTATTTTAAAAATAACATAAGGAATGTCCAAAAATTGATAATACACGAGGCCACCAAAATAAAAAACATTGAAAAAAAACCACAATTCCAATAAATATATACAAGACAGGCTGAAAAACAGCATATTTGAACAAAGGTAATAAGAGTAGAGAAAACAAGAGTAAAAAACCCTCAAAATCGAACCATTAAAAAATATAATAACACTTTCATAAGGACCTCTTAGGTTCTGACTTTCCTGATCATTTAAAATTCTCTTTCTTCCTATTACCCTTTCTCCCTTTCTGCCTGTCTGTGCTCCTTTCTTCCTCCCTGAATAATTAGGTTCATAAGCCACCAGGCACGCATGCTTGAAAGGCCCAGCATGGCCCAGTGTGGACTGCTGGAACATAAACAGGATGAAGTGGATATGTGTGCCAGCCCGATGATAGAACAACATAGAATATTGGATCCCAAGTGGGCTTGCAGAGGACTGCCCTCCCAGAAGAGTGATGGTGGCAGTGGGAAAGGCAGAAGCAATTCTGCATAGAATGTCAGAGGTTGATGGAAAAGAGAAACTGCACTCGGAGTGGGTGGCCACATGAGGAGGGCATCCATTTGGCAGGGGTGGGTGGTGGTGGCAGCCAGTCACAGGAGCTAGGTTGTATGCAGGGAGACTGAAGAAAATGAAAATAGACTGAAGATAATGTCAAAGAAGGAAGGAAGAAACAAGAATACCTGGGAAGGTAAAATGTAAAATGAACCCTCTAGTGTTAGGTTCAACTTGGATGTGTCAGTGTGAACCTAAAGTTTTAACAATAGATGATAGAGAAATAGATGGATAAATGATAGATAGATAGATAGAGAATGATATAGAGAAATACGTACGAAAATGTGGATGTTTGGGTGCTAATATACATGAACATATACATGTTCTTAAGTTTGGTGCATTGACAGGGCACAAGGAACTGCAATATACCAATAACAATAAACACATCTAGTGCCCAGATCTTTGTTCTGAAACAGAATTCACTATTAAAAGGAACCAATGTTCTTGAGAGGAAGAAATACTTGATTACATTGGGGAAGTAGGGAAACCACAGGTGAACTTGCAACATCTTAAAGATTGAAGCAGCATGTCAAAAGGACACAGGAGCTATCCTGAAGGGCTCCCATTGGCCAAAATATGAGATAATTTGGACATCAAAATAACAGTAGCAACAGACTAAAATCCATGGAGTAGAGTGAGAATCCATGAGTGCAGGCTGATTTAAATGAATGTGTTAATAAATAAATGCAGAGGAAGCAAAGCTTTTATCTATGATGGATGGAGTGCCAACTGAAGAAATGTAGAAGAAATGATGAGGGAAATGAAGAATCATCATCATTTGGCAACTGTCATGGTGATTGTTGTTTCGACTAAAAAACATTATCTGATGCTGGAATTAGTAGATGAAAGTTTGATAAGGCATGGAATGTTTACATAGTTTCAAAGTACCCTTTCACAAAACATTTATTCCAAAGAGGGAAAGAATAATCTTACAGACGATAAACTTGGTAACTACCAACTTAAATCAAGTGATCAGTGATCAGAGTTAACATCACCAGTAATGGGACAAATTTAAATCATGCACTACCTGGTAGAAAGCAACGGAATGAACACAGCATCACTTCTGTGACATTCCTGTCCAAAATAAATGGCCCAAATCTAATCCTGGAAAGCAGACAAACCAGGTTGAGGGATATTCTGCAAAATTATTGCTCTGTGAAACAATGGGATCTTAAATGTCAATGAGGACTGGGAATACCTTCTAGATTGAAGGAGCCTCAACAAATATGACAACGGAATGTGGCACATGATCCAGGATTGGATCTGTTACCTATAAAGACCCTTGTTAGGACAACTGGGGAAGCCTGAGCAAGATCTGTGGAATTATGGTGGTCATCTTACCATAGTTATTACAAAAGCAAATTCATTGTGCCTGTCCATATCAAGATGGCCTAGCAGTATCATCATAACATGCTAAAAAGAATATTTACAATTTTTTTCAGTAATATCAACTTTACCTATTTTTCATTGCAACCCCTTAAAAAGGCAGCTTATTTTGTGTGTCACTCACTATAATCTATGTAGTGACAACTTAATGCCTTTGATGCATGAAATCTTGGGGGGAAAAGTATATACTCTCTGCTGAACAACAAACTAAAACCATTAAAAAAACAAAATAGTAAGCCCTAGAGACAAAATTCAAAGTTCTTTTACTTTAAAAATTCAGTTGAACAAGACCGGCTCTCAGAAATAAAATCAGGTAGAGCATGCCCATGTATATTAATTAAACTCTCTGAAAATAAAAATTTAGAAATGCAGCTCCAAACAAGGCATGGAACACTGCAGAGTGGAAGCCCTGCAGCTGTGACTTATGTTTTGTCCTAGGTAATATCAAGCAGTGGTTCTTTCACTTTGTCTGGCAGCCAGGAAGCTACAGGTGTTGAAGGAGTTGTCACGGTTCAAGGCTACGTTGTCAGGTACTCAGGTAGGTGCAAGAGAAAAGACAGCTCTACATTTTGATTTTGGCCCTCTAGGAGGTTACTCTCCAAAATGCAAAAGCTGGTATTTCCAGTTAAAAACAGAATGCCAACAATTATGGGAAAATAATAAAACTTACATCTCAAGATGTTCAACTACGAATTAGGCCAAAAAATGTCAGCGTAATCAGAATATAATTTCTGACTTCAAAAGTAGCACAGGATACACTTGCATCTAGAGTCACAGTCTAGGGAGGAATCAGTGCCATGCAGGTTTAAGCCACATTGCTTCTCCTAAAAGGAAAAGTAGCTCTGACTTACAGGGCAGAATCCATCCCTTTTGCAGCCAATCGAAAATATTATTATTAATTTTAATGGCAAACCTGCAATTACGTTTGTACCAATCTAATATAAATGCATAACACTGAATAACTAGAGGGCCTGCAGTTTAAGAAGGCTGCTTCTGTATGCAAATTTATCCCTGATCCCTTGTTTATGTTTCTTCAGATTCCACTCCATTCTTGTTTGCCTACACTAAATTCAGATTAGACTTATCAGATCTGTGTTTTGGTAAGTCAATAAGTCAAAACAATTACAATTCAGGTGACTGCCTCTTTGTTTTTCCACTGCAAGCTATGATTTACCTAGTAAATACTATCAGGAAGAGTTCACACATGAGAGAAAAGGGCAAAACAAATGTATTCATTATAACACATGAAAACTGAAAAGCAAAACCTCTTCTGGTCAATGTCTTACAGTGCAGAAGAGAGGACCTCAAAGTGCAACATGAAAAACAAGCACCTTTGAGTGTTCACGGGGGCCACCAGAAGCCAGAAAACTTAATTGAGTTGCATGGAACATGGCTTCTGACCTTAGGGCAGTCACCTGACATGATGATTTCACCAATGAAATAGAACACCAACACGGTCCTGAACTGTACCAATGTTTCTAAGACAATCAAGCAACCTGACTGCTTTCCTGAGAAAGACAATGTAGACATTGAAGAAATAAAAAGGGGATGGCTCTAAGACGAATTCAGCAATCTGAAAGAACACTGTTGCATAGCAGAGGGGATTTAGATGTTTTAAAAGGACGGTCTGCTGGAAAATCCACTAAAGGCTGTGAGTTCATACTGTTGCTTTATTCAAAATTATTTGACTTAGATTAAGTCTTACTCCACATGCTCACCTGCTGTGAAATGAATACTACCACTACATGCCTGCAGTGGCTTCCACTTTCCACCATCACGTTACTGCCAATAACCATTTGCCCAATAGCAGCTTTAAATGCCTTACACGGAGAGGAAGCCACTTTAAGATCTAATAACATTCATTCTAAAAGTCTTTGCTAAAAAGGGCAGAATTGCAAGGTTGCAGGAAATAGCCCTTTTATAGAGAGTTCATCATGAAACATGGCAGGATGAATGTGCAAATATGTGTGCATGGGGGTATTGGGAGAGACAATTAGGAAAAAGAGGGGCTGTATCCAACTGATTTTTCTCACTATGGCACAAAGAAAATCATTCTACATATATTTATTGAAGCTTTAAGGAACTGTGTTAGTAGCTGCATATGAATAAACAAATACAGACCCTGCCATCTTGAAGTTTTCAGAACACATGAAGGGCAGGCTAACTTCAGTAGCTTAATTTTTTCCATTTTCTAATCTACGTCGATGGACACATGATAAATGAAGAACTGAGATTATCTATAGCCCAACTGTGCTAATGTTTTGTTTGGTAGAAATACTTTCACCCATAATAACAAGCACATGGGTTTGTTTTTCAAACAAACAAACAAGGGTTTATTTTTCCTTGCATTACAAGAAATACGAAGGTAAGTAGTAGTTGACATTAGCTTATCTTCTCAATGATTCATCAAGATCTTCTTTCTACTCTTCCACTCTGACATTTTTACATGTTGAATTTTTATCCTTAGATATGTTGCCTCATGTTTGCAATATGGCTATTTCAACTCAAAAGAAACACAACTACCTTCAAAGGCAGGAAGAAAAGCTAGGAGAGTAAGCGGTTCTTCTCTGTCTTTCTATTTTTATTACAAATCAAGACATCCTATAAGTTCCTACTAACAAATATTTCCTTATATTTTATTGGCTAGTATTGGATCACATACCTATCTCTACGGTAGAGGCAAAATCCACTTTTCTTGAGATCCAAAGTCTTCCAACTTGTTACCTAAAAAATAATCAGAGTTGGGTTAGTTCATAAGACAATACTTGGATAAGCAATCATAGTTTCTGTACATATTTTAATACTCATTTGCAGATTCTTCAACTTACATGAATATGTTCTCATCTGTTTATACTTGAAATTATATGCATAGTATAACAGACACATTTTTACCTTCCTACAAGGGTCTTGACCTTGATTCAGCCGTTGTACACATTTTTAAGTCTTAAAGGTGCTAGGGTAGAGTTCATTGTTATATTACAGTACAAAAACTATCTGGTCTCTCCAAAAATTAAATCCATGCCCTCTGCCTCATTAACCACATATGAGAATCAACTGTGGTGGTAACTGATCCCAAACAAAATTATAATATATAATGTTCTGTTCATATTCTTTTAATATTGTTAGTACTCTACACTCACATGCTCACGAATTAGGCAAATACTAAATCACATCAGTTAGGCAAATGATTCAAAACTACTAAATGTGAACTCAAAAGACACTGAAACAAGAAGGTATCATTTGTTTTCTGTGAGACCCATCTCAAAAAGTTAGAGATGTATCCTCGAACCCCACTTAATGACCTACTATGGATTTAGGATATATAAATTTATCTAAATTTACATATAACCTAATGATAGTTTTAGTCCAGAAAATCTTTCTGAATGATAAATTTTCTGAGATCTGCTACTCATTGTATGTCTCCTGTAGAGTATCAGATAATTCAAAAACTCACAATGTAGTTCCTTTTTCTAAAATGAAAAAAGAGAGCATTCTATTTATTTCAAAAAAGCAACACATGACTTTATCACTATTTATAAGCTCTCGGAGCATCAGTCTTTGTGCTACATACCACAGTAGAACCCGTTACTTTATATAAAACAAACAAAACAACACAAAACACTTGTCTGCATTTAGTCTTATATCTGGCAAGGATCTGTTCTCTAGTTTTATTTAGAGAGCGTCTTTCTCAATAGTTTATAGCAGCTCTGCACTGCAGAAAAAAAAAGATGTCAAAATATAAAATTGGCAAATATAAAATATTTCCTATGCCAATTTTTCGCTTGAAACCTTAGTTTTGCAATAACAATTAATACTTATCTAAAAAGTATATTTAATCAACCAATGCCTCCTACAAGTAAAGTTTGAATCCTATATTTATAGTCCTGTGTCATGTAATATGCATCAGTAATATCCTGCTTCACTGTTGGATGAGGACATGGCAAAATGAGTAAGTTAATGGAGCCATGGACACTACACATTATTATTATATTATCAGTAATAGATTCAGGGTGTACAAGTACAGTTTTGCTACAAAGACATATCGTGCAGTGGTAAAGTCTAGGCTTTTAGTGTACTCATCATCCAAATGGTGTACATTGTACCCAGTAGATAATTTCTCATCCCTCACCCACGTCCCACTTTTTGCAATCTCTGATATCTATTATTCCACTCTATATGTCCACGTGTACACATCACTTAGCTTCCACTTATACATGAGAACATGTAGTATTTGATTTTCTGAGTTATTGTATTTGGGATTATGGCCTCCAGTTTCATCCATGTTGCTGCAAAAGGCAACATATATATGACAATATGTTTTATATAATACATCACATATGTGAAATATAAATGACACACATATATGTCATATATATGACATTCACACACACACAAACATATACAGACACACACACACACATATATATATATAATAGTTTATTTATCCAATCATCTAATAATGGACATCTGGGTTGACTTCATGACTTTGCTATTGAGAATAGTACTGCAATAAATGTGTGAATGCAGGAGATATATTATAATTTACATTCTCACCAACAGTGTATAACAGTGCCCTTTTCTCTGAATCCCCATCAACATCTGTTGTCTTTTGACTTTTTAATAATAGTCATTCAGACTGGTGTAAGATAATATCTCACTGTGGTTTTAATTTACATTTCTTCGATGATTAGTGATGGTGAGCATTTTTATTTGTTAGTCACTTGTATGTCTTCTTTTGAGAAATGTGTGTTTATGTTTTTTGCCAACTTTTTAATGGGCTTATTTTTTTTTCTTCTTGAGTTGTTTGAGTTCCCTGTAGATTCTGGATAGCAGTTCTTTTTCAAATGCATAGTTTACAAATATTTTATCCCTTCTGTAGATTGTATGTTTATTTGTTGATAATTTCTTTTGTTGTGAAGAAGCTTTTTAATTAAATCCCATTTGTCTATTTCGTTACATTTGCTTTTGAGATCTTAGTCATAAATTATCCCTGTGATTTCCTATAGGACCTTTAAAGTTTCAAGTCTTATATTTAACTTGTTAATTCATTTGAGTTGATTTTTGTATATGGTGACAGAAAGCAGTTCAGTCTTCTACTTATAGCTATCCAATTTTTCTAGTACCAATTATTGAATAGAGTGTCCTTTCTCCAGTTATATTTGTATTATTTTGTCAATTTTGTCAAAAATCAGTTGGTTGTAGATGTGTGGCTTTATTTCTAGTTTCCCTACTCTGCAATTGATCTATGTATCTATTTTTAAACCAGTACCATGCTCTTTCGGTACTATAGTCTTGTAGTATAATTTGAAGTCAGGTAATGTGATGCCTCCCACTTTGCTGTTTCTGCTTAAGATTGTTTTGATGATTCAGACTTTTTTTTTCTGGTTCCATATGAATTTTAGAATTGTTTTGTCTAATCATGGGAAAAATGACATTGGTAATTTGATAGGTGTTGCACTGAATCTGTAGATTGCTTTGGGCAGTGTGGTTATTTTAACAATATTGATTCTCCCATTCCACGAACATGGGATTTTTTTTTTGCATGTATTTGTGTCATCTATAATTTCGTTCATCAGTGTTTTGTGGTTCTCTTTCTGGATATTTTACTATTTTTGTAGCTATTGTAAATGGGTTCTTAATTTGGTTCTCAGCTTGATTGTTTTTGGTGTATACAATTGCTACTGATTTTTGAATACTGGTTTGCATACTGAAGCTTTACTAAAGTCATTTATCACATCTAGTTATCTTTTGGATGACTCTTTAGGATTTTTTAGGTATAAGATCATGTCAGCAGAATACTTCCTCTTTTTTCTATCTGGATGACTTTTACATTTTCTCCTCTTTAATTGCTCTACCTAGGACTTCCAGTACTATGTTAAATAGGAATAGTGAAAGTGGGCAAAGTAAATTTTGACTCGAACCCTTACATCAAAATTGACTCCAGAGGGATTACAGATATAAATACAAAAGTAACAGTAGAAAGCTTTTATTAAAAAACACAGCACAGTAACTTTGTGATGGAATAGGCAAGTATTTCTTAAGATGACACAATAATCAGTAACCTTAATTTTTTTAAAATGATAAATTAAACTATATTAAAATTAAAAGCCTGTGTTTGTTAACGTATAGCATTAAGAGACTGAACATTTAATCCACAGAAGAAAAAATATATTAAAAATATGTACATCTGAAAAGACATTTTTTCATATCTAAAATATCCAAATAATTTTCAAATCAACAGAAGTCAGAAATCCAATGGAAAAAGGGTTTTAAAGATACTCTACATAAGAAGACATCTAAATGAGCTGGTTTTCAAAGGGAATGCTTCCAGCTTTCGCCCATTCAGTATGATATTGGCTATGAGTTAGGGAGTAGTCCTTCTTTTTCTATTGCGGAGAACAGTTTCAGAAGGAATGGTACCAGCTCTTCTTTGTACCTCTGATAGAATTCAGCTATGAATCTGTCTGGTCCTGGGCTTTTTTTGGTTGATACACTATTAATTACTGCCTCAATTTCATAACTTGTTATTGGTCTATTCAGGGATTTGACTTCTTCCTGGTTCAGTCTTGGGAGGGTGAATGTGTCCAGGAATTTATCAATTTCTTCTAGATTTTCTAGTTTACTTGCATAGAGGTGTTTATAGTATTCTCTGATGGTAGTTTGTATTTCTGTGGGATCAGTGGTGATATCCCCTTTATCACTATTATTGTGTCTATTTGATTCTTCTCTCTTTTCTTCTTTATTAGTCTGACTAGTGATCTATTTTGTTAATCTTCAAAACACCAGCTCCTGGATTCATTGATTTTTTGAAGGGTTTTTCGTGTCTCTAGCTCCTTCAGTTCTGCTCTGATCTTACTTATTTCTTGTCTTCTGCTAGCTTTTGGATTTGTTTTCTCTTGTTTCTCTAGTTCTTTTAATTGTGATTTCAGGGTGTCGATTTGTGATCTTTCTAGCTTTCTGATATGGGCATTTAGCGCTACAAATTTCCCTCCTAACACTGTTTTTGCTGTGTTCCAGAGATTCTGATACATTGTCTCTTTGTTCTCATTGGTTTCAAATAACTTCTTTAAAAAAGTCAGGAAACAACAGATGCTGGAGAGGATGTTGAGAAATAGGAACACTTTTACACTGTTGGTGGGAGTGTAAATTAGTTCAACCATTGTGGAAGACAGTGTGGTGATTCCTCAAGGATCTAGAACCAGAAATACCATTTGACTCAGCAATCCCATTACTGGGTATATACTCAAAGGAGTATAAAACATTCTACTATGCAGACATATGCACACGTATGTTTATTGCAGCAGTATCTAGAAGAGCAAGGATTTAGAACCAACCCAAATGGCCATCAATAATAGACTGAATAAAGAAAATGTGGCACATACACACCATGGAATACTATGCAGCCATAAAAAAGAATGAGTTCATCTCCTTTGCAGAGACATGGATGAAGCTGGAAGCCATCATCCTCAGCAAACTAACACAGGAACAGAAAACCAAACACCACATGTTCTCACTCATAAGTGGGAGCTGAACAATGCAAACACATGGACACAGGGAGGGGAACATCACACCAGGGACCTGTCAGTGGGTAAGGGGAAAGTGGAGGGAGAGCATTAGGACAAATACCTAATGCATACGGGCTTAAAACCTGAATGACGGGTTGATTGGCTCAGCAAACCACTGTGGCACATGTATACCTATGTAACAAACCTACATGTTCAGCACATTTATCCCAGAACTTAAAGTAAAAGTTAAAAAAAAAAGAAAAAAAGTGCTTGACTTCATTAGTTATTAAGAAACATAAGGTGAAATCACAGGTGATTGTTTTATACACCCAAAATATAGCTAAAATAGAAAATGGAGAAAATATCCAGTGTTAGGCTATAGACCAACTAGAACTCTTATAGATGAGTCGTATGGATGGCAATTGGTAAAGTCACTTTACAAGACTCTTTGACAGTTGCTACTAAAGATGACCAGTTATACACTGTATGATACAGCAGATCTACTTCATTCCAATTCTAACAGAAATGTGTACACTTGAACGTTCATGAAAGCACTATTTATTATAGAAAAGAATAAAAAAAAGTACCAAATGCATCAACAGTAGAATGGATAAATTGTGGCCTCTTAACAAAATGAAATATACAACAATGAGAATGAATGATGTACAACTACAAACAAAAATGTGGACAAATCTCACAAACCTTTTGTTAAGCAAAATAGACCAGAAACCACACTAAACAATTCTATTCAGGCAAAGCTCCCAAACAGGCAAAACCAATATATTATGTGAGAAATCAGAAACACCTTGATTATGTTATTTTTAACTACAGCTTTCCAAAAAAGGTAAGCTTGAAAGTCTACATCCAATAACTGAAAATTATATAGTAATTAATGTTTTACAGGTTTCAATATTACTGTGTGAAGTTATGATTGTGTGATTTCAGATCAGCAGTTTGGACCCAATGGTTTACTGATACTCTCTTTGAATAGGAAACAGGCTAGCAACCTAATATGTGTGGTTTTTTTTTTGTTTTTTTTTTTTTTTTTGAGATGGAGTCTCGCTCTGTTGTCCAGGCTGGAGTGCAGTGGCACAATTTCGGCTCACTGCAAGCTCTGTCTTCCGGGTTCACACCATTCTCCCGCCTCAGCCTCCTGAGTAGCTGGGACTACAGGTGCCCGCCACCACACCCGGCTAATTTTTTGTATTTTTAGGAGAGACAGGGTTTCACCGTGTTAGCCAGGATGGTCTTGATCTCCTGACCTTGTGATCCGCCCCCTCGGCCTCCCAAAGTGCTGAGATTACAGGCATGAGCCACCGCACCCGGCCATACGTGTTTCTTAACAAGGAAAAAATGGTACATGAGCCAAATGACGTGGTTTATTCGTACATATCTTTAAAATAAAGAGATTTCTTATGTGGAAAATAAGCAGGTAGAAGTTTAGGCATTCATTGTCTGAAAGCGTTTTATTTGCCTATCAACACCTAGAATGGAGTACATTTTATCAAATTTACTTTGCAGGAATTTTATTAAAATGTGCCTCACAAAGTCATATTTTATTACTTTCAAATTATGGCTACATGAAGGAATGGTTAAAGAAACATTAACCTAAGGTACTGATTCCACATGAAAAAAAACTTGCATTTTTTTTAAAAAAGACACGAGTCACATCTATGAGAGTTACTAAAGACAGCGTTGACTTAACATTTCAGTCAATCATTCAAATTAAACTTTTCCAAATGTCTCAAATTATAATTTTGAATAACTAATATGTAAAGTTCATTTATATAGTGATGTCTACCACATTTCTGTAATTTTTCTGTATATGCATGTGAATATGTGTATTTGTACCTCTAGAAAGGACTATAAAAGCCATTCCAAATATACATTAAAATGTTAAATTTTTTTCAGAAGTCTCTACTTTAAGATTATGTTGGCATTAAAATACTCATCAACAGAATAATAACTTACATAATAATCAAATATTGTTGTTAAAGAAGAAAGAGCTACTCTATGGATTTCCTAGTAACACTTCATACGAAAAAATATTAAAAGCATAATTTAAAAATTATTATACTAATTAAGATAACTGTATACACACACAAAAGATAGTGTAAAGAATGTTTTATAATTTATTTCACAAAGAGGGGGAAAAGATCATTTAAACATTCAGCACAAAACACTTCTTTTTTCATATGATTAAGCTGTGCTGCACATTAGGAATGCCAATTAAAGTTTCAAATTATATTTCTGGAACCAGCTGCCAGTAGCATCCATCTTCCTCAAAAGTAGCATCTGTGAAGCTGGTGGCATGGGACCAGATTTTTGGACACTATGGGGTAGAATATCATAAACTTTACATTTTTCCAAAAAATCTTCTTAAAATTTTCTCAGCTATTCCCTATCCATTTATCATTTAAAAGCTTCCCATTATTTTATATTATTTTGGACTTTAAAAAGAACTACTGCATCTTAGTCATATTAGCTTTTTTCTTTTTTTTTATTATTACTATTATTATTATTTTTTTTTAATTATACTTTAAGTTTTAGGGTACATGTGCACATTGTGCAGGTTAGTTACATATGTATACATGTGCCATGCTGGTGCGCTGCACCCACTAACTCGTCATCTAGCATTAGGTATATCTCCCAATGCTATCCCTCCCCCCTCTCCCCTCCACACCACAGTCCCCAGAGTGTGATATTCCCCTTCCTGTGTCCATGTGATCTCATTGTTCAATTCCCACCTATGAGGGAGAATATGCGGTGTTTGGTTTTTTGTTCTTGCGATAGTTTACTGAGAATGATGGTTTCCAATTTCATCCATGTCCCTACAAAGGACATGAACTCATCATTTTTTATGGCTGCATAGTATTCCATGGTGTATATGTGCCACATTTTCTTAATCCAGTCTATCATTGTTGGACATTTGGGTTGGTTCCAAGTCTTTGCTATTGTGAATAATGCTGCAATAAACATACGTGTGCATGTGTCTCTATAGCAGCATGATTTATAGTCATTTGGGTATATACCCAGTAATGGGATGGCTGGGTCAAATGGTATTTCTAGTTCTAGATCCCTGAGGAATGGCCACACTGACTTCCACAATGGTTGAACTAGTTTCCAGTCCCACCAACAGTGTAAAAGTGTTCCTGTTTCTCCACATCCTCTCCAGCACCTGTTGTTTCCTGACTTTTTAATGATTGCCATTCTAACTGGTGTGAGATGATATCTCATAGTGGTTTTGATTTGCATTTCTCTGATGGCCAGTGATGATGAGCATTTTTTCATGTGTTTTTTGGCTGCATAAATGTCTTCTTTTGAGAAGTGTCTGTTCATGTCCCTCGCCCACTTTTTGATGGGGTTGTTTGTTTTTTTCTTGTAAATTTGTTTGAGTTCATTGTAGATTCTGGATATTAGCCCTTTGTCAGATGAGTAGGTTGTGAAAATTTTCTCCCATGTTGTAGGTTGCCTGTTCACTCTGATGGTAGTTTCTTTTGCTGTGCAGAAGCTCTTTAGTTTAATTAGATCCCATTTGTCAATTTTGGCTTTGGTTGCCATTGCTTTTGGTGTTTTGGACATGAAGTCCTTGCCCACGCCTATGTCCTGAATGGTAATGCCTAGGTTTTCTTCTAGGGTTTTTATGGTTTTAGGTCTAACGTTTAAGTCTTTAATCCATCTTGAATTGATTTTTGTATAAGGTGTAAGGAAAGGATCCAGTTTCAGCTTTCTACATATGGCTAGCCAGTTTTCCCAGCACCATTTATTAAATAGGGAATCCTTTCCCCATTGCTTGTTTTTCTCCGGTTTGTCAAAGATCAGATAGTTGTAGGTATGTGGCGTTATTTCTGAGGGCTCTGTTCTGTTCCATTGATCTATATGTCTGTTTTGGTACCAGTACCATGCTGTTTTGGTTACAGTAGCCTTGTAGTATAGTTTGAAGTCAGGTAGTGTGATGCCTCCAGCTTTGTTCTTTTGGCTTAGGATTGACTTGGCGATGCGGGCTCTTTTTTGGTTCCATATGAACTTTAAAGTAGTTTTTTTCAATTCTGTGAAGAAAGTCATTGGTAGCTTGATGGGGATGGCATTGAATCTGTAAATTACCTTGGGCAGTATGGCCATTTTCACGATATTGATTCTTCCTACCCATGAGCGTGGAATGTTCTTGCATTTGTTTGTATCCTCTTTTATTTCCTTGAGCAGTGGTTTGTAGTTCTCCTTGAAGAGGTCCTTCACATCCCTTGTAAGTTGGATTCCTAGGTATTTTATTCCCTTTGAAGCAATTGTGAATGGGAGTTCACTCATGATTTGGCTCTCTGTTTGTTTGTTGTTGGTGTATAGGAATGCTTGTGATTTTTGTACATTGATATTGTATCCTGAGACTTTGCTGAAGTTGCTTATCAGCTTAAGGAGATTTTGGGCTGAGACGATGGGGTTTTCTAGATAAACAATCATGTCGTCTGCAAACAGGGACAATTTGACTTCCTCTTTTCCTAATTGAATACCCTTTATTTCCTTCTCCTGCCTGATTTCCCTGGCCAGAACTTCCAACACTATGTTGAATAGGAGCGGTGAGAGAGGGCATCCCTGTCTTGTGCCCGTTTTCAAAGGGAATGCTTCCAGTTTTTGCCCATTCAGTATGATATTGGCTGTGGGTTTGTCATAGATAGCTCTTATGATTTTGAAATATGTCCCATCAATACCTAATTTATTGAGAGTTTTTAGCATGAAGGGTTGTTGAATTTTGTCAAAGGCTTTTTCTGCATCTATTGAGATAATCATGTGGTTTTTGTCTTTGGCTCTGTTTATATGCTGGATTACATTTATTGATTTGCGTATATTGAACCAGCCTTGCATCCCAGGGATGAAGCCCACTTGATCATGGTGGATAAGCTTTTTGATGTGCTGCTGGATTCGGTTTGCCAGTATTTTATTGAGGATTTTTGCATCAATGTTCATCAAGGATATTGTTCTAAATTCTCTCTTTTGGTTGTGTCTCTGCCCGGCTTTGGTATCAGAATGATGCTGGCCTCATAAAATGAGTTAGGGAGGATTCCCTCTTTTTCTATTGATTGGAATAGTTTCAGAAGGAATGGTACCATTTCCTCCTTGTACCTCTGGTAGAATTCGGCTGTGAATCCATCTGGTCCTGGACTCTTTTTGGTTGGTAAACTATTGATTATTGCCACAATTTCAGCTCCTGTTATTGGTCCATTCAGAGATTCAACTTCTTCCTGGTTTAGTCTTGGGAGAGTGTATGTGTCAAGGAATGTATCCGTTTCTTCTAGATTTTCTAGTTTATTTGCACAGAGGTGTTTGTAGTATTCTCTGATGATAGTTTGTATTTCTGTGGGATCGGTGGTGATATCCCCTTTATCATTTTTTATTGTGTCTATTTGATTCTTCTTTTTTTCTTTATTAGTCTTGTTAGCGGTCTATCAATTTTGTTGATCCTTTCAAAAAACCAGCTCCTGGATTCATTGATTTTTTGAAGGGTTTTTTGTGTCTCTATTTCCTTCAGTTCTGCTCCGATTTTAGTTATTTCTTGCCTTCTGCTAGCTTTTGAATGTGTTTGCTCTTGCTTTTCTAGTTCTTTTAATTGTGATGTTAGGGTGTCAATTTTGGATCTTTCCTGCTTTCTCTTGTGGGCATTTAGTGCTATAAATTTCCCTCTACACACTGCTTTGAATGCGTCCCAGAGATTCTGGTATGTTGTGTCTTTGTTCTCGTTGGTTTCAAAGTACATCTTTATTTCTGCCTTCATTTCGTTATGTACCCAGTAGTCATTCAGGAGCAGGTTGTTCAGTTTCCATGTAGTTGAGCGGCTTTGAGTGAGATTCTTAATCCTGAGTTCTAGTTTGATTGCACTGTGGTCTGAGAGATAGTTTGTTATAATTTCTGTTCTTTTACATTTTCTGAGGAGAGCTTTACTTCCAACTATGTGGTCAATTTTGGAATAGGTGTGGTGTGGTGCTGAAAAAAATGTATATTCTGTTGATTTGGGGTGGAGAGTTCTGTAGATGTCTATTAGGTCCGCTTGGTGCAGAGCTGAGTTCAATTCCTGGGTATCCTTGTTGACTTTCTGTCTCGTTGATCTGTATAATGTTGACAGTGGGGTGTTAAAGTCTCCGATTATTATTGTGTGGGAGTCTAAGTCTCTTTGTAGGTCACTCAGGACTTGCTTTATGAATCTGGGTGCTCCTGTATTGGATGCATATATATTTAGGATAGTTAGCTCCTCTTGTTGAATTGATCCCTTTACCATTATGTAATGGCCTTGTCTCTTTTGATCTTTGTTGGTTTAAAGTCTGTTTTATCAGAGACTAGGATTGCAACCCCTGCCTTTTTTTGTTTTCCATTGGCTTGGTAGATCTTCCTCCATCCTTTTATTTTGAGCCTATGTGTGTCTCTGCACGTGAGATGGGTTTCCTGAATACAGCACACTGATGGGTCTTGACTCTTTATCTAACTTGCCAGTCTGTGTCTTTTATTGGAGAATTTAGTCCATTTATATTTAAAGTTAATATTGTTATGTGTGAATTTGATCCTGTCATTATGATGTTAGCTGGTGATTTTGCTCGTTAGTTGATGCAGTTTCTTCCTAGTCTCGATGGTCTTTACATTTTGGCATGATTTTGCAGCGGCTGGTACTGGTTGTTCCTTTCCATGTTTAGCGCTTCCTTCAGGAGCTCTTTTAGGGCAGGCCTGGTGGTGACAAAATCTCTCAGCAATTGCTTGTCTGTAAAGTATTTTATTTCTCCTTCACTTATGAAGCTTAGTTTGGCTGGATATGAAATTCTGGGTTGAAAATTCTTTTCTTTAAGAATGTTGAATATTGGCCCCCACTCTCTTCTGGCTTGTAGGGTTTCTGCCGAGAGATCCGCTGTTAGTCTGATGGGCTTCCCTTTGTGGGTAACCCGACCTTTCTCTCTGGCTGCCCTTAACATTTTTTCCTTCATTTCAACTTTGGTGAATCTGACAATTATGTATCTTGGAGTTGCTGTTCTCAAGGAGTATCTTTGTGGCGTTCTCTGTATTTCCTGAATCTGAACGTCGGCCTGCCTTGCTAGATTGGGGAAGTTCTCCTGGATAATATCCTGCAGAGTGTTTTCCAACTTGGTTCCATTCTCCCCATCACTTTCAGGTACACCAGTCAGACGTAGATTTGGTCTTTTCACATAGTCCCATATTTCTTGGAGGCTTTGCTCATTTCTTTTTATTCTTTTTTCTCTAAACTTCCCTTCTCGCTTCATTTCATTCATTTCATCTTCCATTGCTGATACCCTTTCTTCCAGTTGATCGCATCGGCTCCTGAGGCTTCTGCATTCTTCATGTAGTTCTCGAGCCTTGGTTTTCAGCTCGATCAGCTCCTTTAAGCACTTCTCTGTATTGGTTATTCTAGTTATACATTCTTCTAAATTTTTTTCAAAGTTTTCAACTTCTTTGCCTTTGGTTTGAATGTCCTCCCGTAGCTCAGAGTAATTTGATCGTCTGAAGCCTTCCTCTCTCAGCTCGTCAAAATCCTTCTCCATCCAGCTTTGTTCCGTTGCTGGTGAGGAACTGCGTTCCTTTGGAGGAGGAGAGGCGCTCTGCGTTTTAGAGTTTCCAGTTTTTCTGCTCTGTTTTTTCCCCATCTTTGTGGTTTTATCTACTTTTGGTCTTTGATGATGGTGATGTACAGATGGGTTTTCGGTGTGGATGTCCTTTCTGTTTGTTAGTTTTCCTTCTAACAGACAGGACCCTCAGCTTCAGGTCTGTTGGAATACCCTGCCGTGTGAGGTGTCAGTGTGCCCCTGCTGGGGGGTGCCTCCCAGTTAGGCTGCTCGGGGGTCAGGGGTCAGGGACCCACTTGAGGAGGCAGTCTGCCCGTTCTCAGATCTCCAGCTGCGTGCTGGGAGAACCACTGCTCTCTTCAAAGCTGTCAGACAGGGACATTTAAGTCTGCAGAGGTTACTGCTGTCTTTTTGTTTGTCTGTGCCCTGCCCCCAGAGGTGGAGCCTATAGAGGCAGGCAGGCCTCCTTGAGCTGTGGTGGGCTCCACCCAGTTTGAGCTTCCCGGCTGCTTTGTTTACCTAAGCAAGCCTGGGCAATGGCGGGAGCCCCTCCCCCAGCCTCGCTGCCGCCTTGCAGTTTGATCTCAGACTGCTGTGCTAGCAATCAGCGAGATTCCGTGGGCGTAGGACCCTCCGAGCCAGGTGTGGGATATAGTCTCGTGGTGCGCCGTTTTTTAAGCCGGTCTGAAAAGCGCAATATTCGGGTGGGAGTGACCCGATTTTCCAGGTGCGTCCGTCACCCCTTTCTTTGACTCGGAAAGGGAACTCCCTGACCCCTTGCACTTCCCAGGTGAGGCAATGCCTTGCCCTGCTTCGGCTCGTGCACGGTGCGCGCACCCACTGGCCTGCGCCCACTGTCTGGCACTCCCTAGTGAGATGAACCCAGTACCTCAGATGGAAATGCAGAAATCACCCGTCTTCTGCGTCGCTCAAGCTGGGAGCTGTAGACCGGAGCTGTTCCTATTCGGCCATCTTGGCTCCTCCCCCCATATTAGCTTTTCTCAAAGGGACTTTGAACAAATATGGAAGCAAATACCTAATCATCAATTACAAATTGAAGAGGTACCTTTCAGTCAGTGTCAATGTAGCCCTCAGGAAAATGTTCTTTGTAAGTTGAACATACAATTTAGTGAGTTAGAGGGGACTATAGATAAGTTAAGTATCTTTATGTAGTAGGAATTCAAACAGCTAGTAACTCCCAAGCCATAATTTCTACCTGATTTTCCTGGTCTTCCCTTTTCCAAGCTACACATCCTCAGCTTCTTCAAGCCACTATTGATCAGATGGTTGTTGTAATGAACTTAACAGTATCAACATTAAATATGAAGACAGAAAATCAAGGCTTGAGGTGCCTTGCCATCATCAACAGAGATTCAGTGGAATAAGAACAGAGTAGGGGTCTCAGTGGGAGTTAACCTAATACAGTTAATGATGACCAGTGGAAAATCCTTCTCTGGACTTTGAGGGTAAAATTCACGGCATTTCTTCTTATATAAACAGAGAACCCCCGTGTTTAATTAGACATGTAGTGTAAAAACATACGGTTTGGATACAAACTTTAAATGCTCCATTCAATAACAGCACATTATACTTCTAAAATGCCTTCTAATTTTCAAAGTGTATTGTAAACCTGACCTTCACAACACTGTGAGGTCAGCAGAATGTGAATTGTTCTTAACAACACATAGATGAGAAAGCTAGAGTTCACAGCATTATTCTCTGTAACTTCTCACAGCTGGTGAGGGTAGAAAAAAGTCCTCAATCTTCTAATGCTCCGTCCTGACACCTGCTGCCTCCTCATGTCACTGCGTTAGAAGAATATGAAGATGGCTATGAAACGTGACTTGTGGGCCACCAGAAGCCCCATCAGCTGCAAATTTCACCTCTATTACTTTTATGAGCCTCAAACTCCAGAATAGGGATTTATTCCTGTTGAGTTTAAAGGCGTCCTAATGTTTAACGAATAACTTCTAAAATTAAAAACAAAACAAAACAAAACAAAAACATGAAAAAAAAAAAACCCTTTAAGCTTACCCCAGAATACCTTTGAGCAGGAACAGACACGGGTGATTAAGAGAGACACTAAAGGGCACCCAAGACAAATTTCACTACCTTACTTTGTGTCCTGGCTTTGGATCAATCTTAATTCTGTTTTTTTGTTTGTTTGTTTTCTGTGTTTTGCATTGGACCATTAACAAACAGTTTCGTCTCTCTTATGGTCCTAGCTTTTTTTTAAGCATGTTTTTGGTTTGTGTTCTAATAGTAACAATGATGAAACTAGATTTTTAATCTATCTTCAAAATTCTAAGAAGTGTGGACTTTTTAATTAAGTGAGAACACCAATGAATCTTTTTTTGACATCGTTAAATTAAAAGAAGAGGTGAGCCATATTCTCAGAATTTTCAAATGATTCCAGAGCAACACCAAAGGAGAGGGTTTGCAGACATCCTGTGGCTTTGAATAAAAAAAAAAACTAATTTTTAGATATTTTTATTTATTTTCTCTACTAGGTTTGAGAACTTGGTAAGTAAATTTAGCGTAAATAATTGATGGCCAAGCACCAAATGCTGAGAAAATTCTGATTTCATGGTTGAATAAGACTTCTGGCTAGTTGCTTTACAGCCTTTTAAATTTTTACTCGAAGTAATCCAGTTAACCAACTACTGTTAGATTGGTTTAACAGTCATTACAAAAGCCTCAGTCCTTAAAAACTCAGCATGTTAATGAAATATTAAACATTTGTGCTTCTTTCTTTTTTGCATGAAATGTACTACCAGTCTAGAAAGAATTAAAATATGTAGAAGATTTAAAATTAACTATAAATATAAAATACAAGAACGCAATTTGTGTTGTCTTATATAAGCAATAACGTTGACATAATTTTTGAATTGTGTTCATCCTCTACATAATACCATGTACAAGGTTTTATTCTGAGGAAAAAGAAAAAGCCAAATAAATTAGGAGTGGTAGCTGAGAAAATATTCTACCTACAAGTACATAAATTGGTATCCTGCAAGAGTTTAGAAGTTATTTCCTCAATAGATGCTTAAATCTCTACTAAAAATGCCACAGCAGTAGCAGAAAGTCTGCTTCACTTATTGTCTAAAAAAATACTAAAGTGGAATGAAATCCCTGCAGAATGGAAGTGAAACTTGCTAATACACGCTTTTATTTTCATTATGTGGCAACACTGCTAGCAATTAGGAACAACAAACAGCCAACAGAAGGGGGAAAAATGGCAAAGCAGAATGTTTATTATTTTGAGATGTTCATTGGGGAATGCTCTTATGTCGGGGGAATAAACACTGCCACCCAGGCAAGGAAGCTACAGTGCTTCCAAAGGGCCCCAGCAATATTGAATGGTTATGAAAACACCTCTTATGCCTTAATCCTTCCTGCTATAGATGAAGTGAGAAGGGTGTGGTTCAGAGCATGCTAGATGACAGGCAGGCAAACTAACATTGTTTAGAGCCAGTGGTTTTAGGAAGATTCAGGATTCATCTTGAAAGGAACAGATTCTCTTTAAGAAGAACATGAAAATATTTCCCTTCTGTTTCACGCTTGCAGTAGGGGGCCTTTCCATTAGGTTTGCTTTAGAAACCAAAAAGTGTAAAGCTGTTTATTTTTTAGTTTACTTTGTATGGGATTAAGAGTAGTTTTACCACTCACAGGCCTGTTTATTAGAAATAACTAGTTATTTTGTAGTGTTAAGTGGGATAGTATTCAAAACTCAGTAAATTATTAGTGAACCATTGAAAGGTCTTTGGTGGTCATTGGAATGACCCCTAAATGCAAGACTATATTACAATATGACTGCAACAATACAATTAAAAATTTTAATCTGAGATGTGTGCAATTCAGATTATTGCTTACTCATAGAGGTTTTTCTGAACTTCAGAATGAAATGTCATTACTAGCTGCCTTGGCTGCTTGGGAGCTATCAATTCCCACTGAGTGAGCTTTTCAGGGGTGTCCAATCTTTGGTTTCCCTGGGCCACACTGGAAGGAGAAGAATTGTCTTGGGTCACTCATAAAATACACTATCACCGATGATAGCTGATGAGCAAACAAAACAAAAAGAATCACACCAAAAAAATCACATAATGTTTTAAGAAAGTTTACAAATTTGTTTGGGCTGCATTCAAAGCCATCCTGGGCCACGTGTGGCCAGTGGGCCATGGGTTGGACAAGCTGGCAAGGATCTGAGATATTCAGTGTGACTAAAGCTCTTCCATGGAACTAAGTTTCATCTGATTTTCTCTCGGGCTCCCAAACTCACTCTTTTACTTTACAGTGATAGGCCCTGCTACAGGTGAGAAAATAATCAGCTCAAAGGATACTCAGACAAGCAAGGTTTTTGTTGTTGTTGTATTTCTCTTAGTTCTCGATCCTCAAACTTTTGTTACCAATGAAACGTTTATCATTACCCTTTCAACAATATGAAAACAAAAACAGAGCTCAGGATCCCAAAATCCTTAACCCAGAAAACTGTGTCCTGGCCCTCTTCCCTATATGTATGTAAAATGAAAAGACATCAGTTTGCAATTGTGGCTGGTTACAGCTCTGACATCCAAGCCATGAGTCAGAAAAAAAAAAAAAAAGGAAGAAGAAGAAGAAGAAAAGAGGGAGCTAGCATGTAAACCTAAAAGAAAAGTGAACTGAGAATTGAGGATGTTAATATATGATAAGGAGAGAGCAATGGGTGGATTAAAGATGGAAGGGCTAGAGCCTAAATGGGAAGCAGAGAGAAGGAATACTCTGAGCCAAGCCTGCTGGAATGCTTTATATCAGCCATTTGCTGTTTGAAAAGTTGACAAGTAGTACATGCCAAAGACTAGAGATGGAATTATAGTCTTAATTTATGTATGTTTTCAAAGTGCTTTGTGTTTAAAGTAATATAAGGCATGGAAACCTGCTGGGAGAACTGCAAGGCTGCAAAGCCATTAGCATCTACCATTTAAAGCTGCTAAAAGGCAATGCACCAGTCACAGGTGAGAGAGCTGCTGACACACTGTGGAAGGGCCAAAGCCAGTTGAAACCCTCGGGAGCTAAGGAGACTGGAGGGCTGCAAAGCAATCAGCCGCTACCTCTGAAGCTCTGGGTATTTCTGAAGACAGTTTGTTCTAGACTTCATTCCCAGATCCAATTACCACCTCAGCTACTGGTAGCAATTAACACTTAGGCACACAAAAATACCCCTGATTACAATTAGCCCTAATAGGTCAGTATAAATAATAAATTATACACATCCCAGTGAAGTTAATAACTGAGCTGTGTGAGGCCAGCAATTGGATTTTGAGGTGAGGCCAGTGTGAAATCCTGATGCCTCCTATTCTTTGCAAGCTGATAGTTCACTAAGAATGATGCCCCCAGAGCCATGGTGCGATGGAATGACAGACACAGAGAGAGTGAGCTACTTCAGACACATATTTTACATTTATGGATAAACTAAAGAAAAAGATTGTAAAATTTCCAAGTAGCATTTGAATTTTAATTAGCTCTCAACAGCTTATGGCAGTATTCCCTAACACGGGTATTTCAGACTCTTTGAGACTCAAATGAATGAAAAGAAGGAGGTAAGGGCTAAGTATGAAGTAGTATTACTCTGTTTTCTTTTTCTTTATACTCTAGATTCAGACTAATTATTAGAATGACATAACACACAAGAATTGGAACCCAAAGGGTATAGACCTATGATTTAGCTTTTGCCATTTCCATTTTGCCTTGCTTCATTTGGCTGGTGGGAGCTCTTGGAAGCTTGAATAGGTACATTGAGTACTTTGTGTTTTTAACACTTCATAATTGTTCATTTTTCTCTACCTTAATTATAACATTGCAAATTGTTTAAGCTTAACAGTTCCAGTGTTTCACCATTAAAAAAATTGGTCTCTGGCTATGATATATTCATTTAATTTAGAATAGTGAGAAATATGGTTGGCAGAGCCTAAAGGTACATATTGGAAGATGGTTTTCTTGAATGTGGGGAGCATTTTTGAAAGCATGCAGTAAAATAGGTGAGAAAAAGGTAGACTTTATTAAAATCAAAAACATGATACCCATATACATGCCTATTGTGTATTTTATTTAATTATATATTTAATAACTGACTTTGAGAACTCTTTGACATAGAACAGGTCTCTAGCTTTTTTTCTTACATGTGGAGAAAATATTTCTCCTCCTAGGAGAAAAAGCAATGATGATTATGGTAATGATAAATGTGTTCTGTCTCAGTCGGACTATCAATTCTAAATGAAAAAGACAACAAACATGTCTAAATCTCTGGACCTGGAATGTCCCAAGTTAGCAAGAACTCACCGTGATATAGGAAAGGTTTGAGGAATTTGTGCATGGAGATGTGATGTTTCAGTACAACACTGGTATCATCTAATGCCCTCAGCATAGCCCCTGGGAACTTTCCCTAAGACTTAGGGATATTTAGTATGTAGTATTCATTGCTAGAGAAAGTGGGGTCACTCTCTACACACTTCAGGGATGTTGCTCTCCAGGATATGAAAATGGCAGCAAATTGTATCACTTTGGGAGGATGGGGAGTTTGAGATCTAAGTGGCAGTACAATAGTTGTCTGGATGACAGTTTTTATTTGATTGATGTTTGATTTTAATGTTCCATAGGCATTAAAAGACATAGCCTGGCTAGGCGTAGTGGCTCACGCCTGTAATCCCAACATTTTGGGAGGCCAAGGAAGGTGGATCACTTGAGGTCAGGAGTTCAAGACTGGCCTAGCCAACATGGCGAAACCCCGTAACTACTTAAAATAAAAAAAGTTAGCTGGGTGTGGTGGCGTACACCTGTAGTCTCAGCTACTCAGGAGGCTGAGGCAGGAGAATCACTTGAACTTGGGAGGTGGAGGCTACAGTAAGCCAAGATTATGCCACTGCACCAGCCTGGGTAACAGGCAAGACTCCAACACACAAAAAAAAGACATGGTCTCCTTATGGCAGAACATGGAACCATGAGAGTCACCAGTAGAAAAGAACTGACTTCAACAAAATCATAATGTAAGAGACATCAGTGAGGAGGAAGGAAACCCTGGAATCAGGATGTTTGTAGCTTCAGTGATATTCCTGAGTCTGATAGCACTGTGAGAGCTGCTTATGTTTTGCTGGCTCTCAAGCCAGTTAGTCCAGGAGAAATGAATAAGGGTATTATTTATTTCATACAAAGGGAAGTGTTATAATGTATTTTATCTTTTACCTAAAAAATAAAAGTATTTTTGGAGGTACCTGTACTAGTTTTAGGGACAATATTACTATACCAGCTAATATTTAACATATATATAAACTTCTCTACAATTTAAATTCCGTATCTGCCATATACTTTGTTTCAGGCCATTAACAGAATGCCTGAAGTGACTCACCTATATATTGGCTTTGGAAGTAGTTTTTATACAGTTGGACAACAGGTTCCCACAGCACAGATTGCTTACTTGGTTGGACTCCACTTATTCTTTTACAATGGCTGAAATAGATCCATTCATTTAATATTCCCCGGTGGGGCAGGGTATGATTAGATTTTCAAAATGGTGGACCGATACATGTTTTGATCTCTATGGGACACAGATAGCTTTGCCTGGGCTGACTCTCCAGGTCAGCTTCAGTGGTTAGATACTGACTACCTGCTCCAATGATGGCTTTCATAATGATAGTAGATGAGATGGCCATGGCTTGAAAGACGTCTCTGTTACACTTAAAAAGATCATTTCCATGTCGTATACCTCAAAGTTGCTTGTGAATTTGAAAAATAATCATTTAATGGAGTAGCAGACCTTTTTTTCTAGTCTCACCTCTGCAAGTACAAGAGAAACAGGTTTTAACACAGATCACCAGGCAAAAAGCCCTAGACTTTTCTACGCTACCATAATGTCCTACCTATTCACTTGAAACCCAATAACTTATTTGCTCATTTTTTTTAAATGAACTAAAAATTTAAGAATATACTGAGGTTCTTCTTTCTTGCAGATGACAAACTTATCCTGATACTGACTCTCCAATGTTGATAAGAACCTAGGGCAAGAAGGGAGTGATGTTGGCTAAGGGTTGAGAAAGGAGACAAAAAATATATATAATGTCTTAAATCTCAGTGAGCTATTTCTTTGACAGACTAGTAAATTGGTAGCTTCTTTCAAAAGGCAAGCTGTAATCTCTAAGAATGTCACATCTAATAGCATAACTGTCACATTGAAATAATATAAACATTATACTTCTAATTGAAGCACATTTTTAATCTTGCTAAAAAGGATCGGAAGTATAAGAACAAGTTTCCATAATTTTTCCAGGAATTTTATGACTAGTTACCCTTGAAGTTTCTAAAGAAGGAATATGATTACAATTTCAGGTATAATTGTCTATTTTCATAAAAAAGATCACAAACCCAAACCAATTTTATTTTTTATTTCAGGTTGTGTCAAAAGAACTAACATTTGGAGAAGTAGCGTATTTTACTCAAAATTTCAAAAAGACTGCTTTGATTATCACTTGTTTTCTTCTCAGCATGTAGTGGGATTCACCTTCTTGAAGGTAGGCCTAGCCATTTGACTTGGCAAATAAAATGTGAATAAAGGTGATGCCTTTAACAGCCAGCATACAACTCTCCATGTCCTCTTTCCCTGTTGCAGCAACAACTGATAATAGAGGGGATGGACCCTTATTAACTTGCATTTTTGAGTAAGGAAAACATGGAAGAGAGCCCACAGCTAACCCATGATGGACATGTAGCACAAGTGAGCTACAGATCTTTGTTGTGAATTCAGCTTTATTTGGTACTACTACTAACTAAACTTCTGATCCATATAATTACTTAACTTCTTTGTATTAAGGAATTAGAATACACAGCTTTCATGTCAAACCTGGGTGGAAATCCAGGTGACTGCCAAGATTCCTACCTTCTCTGAACTTCCATTTAATTACCTATGAAATGGGGATTATGATAGGTGCTTCTAGGCATGGCCGCATGGATTACAATGAGAGATGTAAAGGGCTGGGCATAGTTCCTAGTACACGGTACTGAGCTATGCAGTATACAGTAGCTTTTATTATAATTATCTCCTAGAGAAGCCTATAGCTTGAGCTATTTCAAGTTACTTATGATGGCATCAAGTTCTAACTTGAGGCCAGATTTTAGTTAATGTTTCCACTAATGTAAGCCCATATATACTATGCATGTTATAAAGCCATAGATTTAGGCCAAATTATAATAGCAATTTTTATAAATTCATTTCAGCATCCTGAGCTTAGTAATTTTGATAAATGACTCTTTCAAAAACTTGGCTTTAGTAGTAACTGAAAATGGTTTGGAGAGCTGAATTTAGAGCTAAGTAATTATACAACAAAGTTCCTGTGGCAAGGCTCAGAGAAAGGGGGTTTAAAATATTGTTTTAAAGTCAAATGTTTTTACTTAGAGTGAAAGTGTTATTTGCTTATATTTTTAAAAACATCAAATCTATCATATAAAATTTTTATTCATAAAGAAAATAGATTAATAAAAAATGTACTGAAGGGTAGTGACCTTTTGTGTTATACATTGCTTTTGTTGTCCTGTCAAAGACCACTCGATGTTTAAAAAAAATAAAATACACAATATCTGTAAGAAAGAAAATGTATCAACTAGGTAGTATCAATGACATATTCATTGATCAGTTAAATAGTTCCCAATGTATATGATAATTACTTTATTGACAAGTGGGTAATATTATAATAAACAGCATATGGAGGAAACAAGCAAGGATTGTTGGATGGTTGTATGATCGTTCAGTAGAGAAAAAAACTTAAAGATAAGCTCTCTAGGAGCTATATTCTAATAGGGAAATCAAAATATACATTCCTTCTCCTTTAAAGGTTAATATACACAGTTTGGATGGTAATTATATTTGGGTTCAGAAGAAAGAAAATTACTTACACCAGTTGTTCTCGACATGTGGTTCAAGAACTTCTGAACTCTTGGGACTTATTGAGATCCTTCTGGGGATCCACAAGGTCAAAAATATTTTCATAATAGTATCGAGATATTATTTTACTTTTTCACTCTCATTTTCTGAGTGTCTGTGATTTTTTCAGAAGTTACGTGTGATGACATCATCTCTTTGACAGCTAATGGAATGTTCACTTTTGTAGTTTCATGTTTTAAAAGTTCTCAGCTTACTTTATTTTTATTGACAAATTGTGGTTGTATGGATTTCTTAGGTACGAAGTTATGTGTTGATTTTGAATACAATGTGGAATAGTTAAATCAACGTAACTAATGTATCTATCACCTCACATACGTATCATCTGTTGTGGTGACAGCATTTGAAATTTATTCTCATAGCAGTTTTGAAATGTATAATACACTATTATTAAATATATTCACCATGCTGTGCGATAGATCTAAGAAAGAAATTATTTCTTCTGCCTGAGGCTTTGTACCCTATGACCATCATTTCCACATTGCGTCCACCCCACAGCCTCAGGTAATCACTAATTTACTCTCTGCTTCTTTGAATTTGATTGTTTTAGATTCCATTTATAAATGAGGACATGTGGTATTTGTCTTTCCGTGCCTAGGTTATTTCACTTAGCATACTGTCCTCCAGGTTCATCCATGTTGTCACAATGACAGAACTTATTTAAGGCTGAATATTATTTCATTACATATATATATATACCACATTTTCTGTATCCATTTGTTGATGGGCACTGAAGTTGATTTTATAACATGGCTGTGGTGAATGGAGCTGCAATGAACATAGGAGTGCAGACATCTCTTTGACATATTTATTTCAAATCTTTTGGGTAAATACCCAAAAGTGAGATTGCTGAATCATATGGTAATTCTTGTTTTTGTTTCTTTGAGTTACTTCCATACAGTTTTCCATAATGGCTGCACTAATTTAATCCCCACCAACAGTGTACAAGAATTCCCTTTCCTCCACCTCCTGACCAACACTCGCTATCACTTGACTTTTTAATAATAGCTAATTCTGATAGATGTGAGGTGATATCTTGTGGTTTCAATTTTCATTTCCCTAATGATTAGTGATGTGGAACACTTTTTAATATATCTGTTAGCCATTTATATGTTTTCTTTTGAGAAAAGTCTATTCATGTCTTTTGCCCTTCTTTTAGTTGGGTTTTTTTGTTTGTTTTGTTTTTGTTGTTGTTGTTTTTTGCTATTCATCTGTTTGAGTCCCTTAGATATTTTGCATTCAGTTGTAAGTGGTTAGAAAATATTTTCTCCCAATTTGTAAATTGTTTCTTGACCTTGCTGTTTCCTTTGCTATACAAATCTTTTTAGTTTTATGTAATCCATTTTTCCTAGGTTTCCTTTCATTCTCTGTGCTTTCAGGGTCAAATTTAAAAAATTATTGCGCAGACCAATGTCATGTAATTTTTCCCCTGATTTCTTCTAGTAGCTTTAAAGGTTCAAGTTTTATGTTAAGTCTTTAATCCGTTTTGGGTTGATTTTTTGCATATTGTGTATGATAAGGCCCAATTTCAGTCTTCTGCATTTGGATATCCAGTTTTTCCCACACCAATTATTGAAGAGATTGTCCTTTCCCCTTTGGCATCTTTGTCAAAATCAATGGACAGAACATATACAGGTTTATTTCTGGGTTCTCTATTATATTCCATTGGTCAATGTGCCTATGTTTATAAAACAGCAGTACCATGCTGTTTTAATTACTATTGCTTTGTAGTATACAGTAGATTGAAATCAGGTTGTGTGATGCCTCCAGCTTTGTTGTTTTTGAATTTTACTTTTAATTGTTAAATACAAATAGATAAATCTGTATAAACAAAATCTCTTTGGGTCTTCAAAATATTTCAAGACTGCAAGGGAATCCTGACAACCATTGATTTACACTAAAGCCACAGTCCTTTCAATTTTTTTAAGATTCTCATAAGGTGATTAGTTCACCTGATAAAGTTTAAAGACTGATTGCCATGATAGGTTTTGAGATGCATATCTATAAAATAAAGCTAACCTGATACACAGCCAATCAAATGCATAATTATGACTATTCTGTATAACAGTTAAGAATAGAGGATAGTTTTATTTTACACCCTGTCATAAACTTTCACTCACCCTCTCACATACACACTCCACAGAAGTAGAATTGCCTGGGAGAAGGAAGCTGCTTTGAGGTCCCTATGAAGACTATGAGATTCATATCATTATCATTATCATTTTCCAGACTTTTTATGTAAAGGGAACATACACCAGTAGTTTTCTTCTAGTCTAAATCTCTCTTATGATGTAAAATACTTTTTTTTTCATTCTAAAATGAAGATTGCCAAAGGTGGGCCCTATATAGAATACAGAAATTGGTGACGGAAATAAAAGTGAACCAGAGCTTACTCTATGAGGGAAGACTTGTGGGTAGGGGGTATGGAAAGATCCGTTTTAACATGATGAATCCATTCTCCTCATTGTTCCAAAGAATTTATGGCATCTTAATATCATTTAATGGAGCCCATAAGAGATTAATTTTCTCAGTCTAATTAACCAAAATAAGGTATAGTAGGCCCACTTGCTTGAGGTTAGGCATTCTGTCCAGAAGCCTTCTGGAACTACACTCAGATCAATAACCTCAGTGTGATCTAAATTATATTCCTCCCTGGTCTAACACCCTCAGAGTCCATACTCACACATATAATCCAGGTTTTACTCATGGATATGTTCCCCTCTCAAGTCTGAATTTGTAATTGGCCCCACAGAACATGATGGGCTATGACTCTAGTGATAGACTTGCAGATGATAAGAAGTGGTAGACGAGGAGCATGAAGAGAACTTGCTTCTCTCTGAAAGTGACTCTCTCAAGTGAGCTTGTACAAGGCAGTACAGCAGTGGAGAGGCAAAGGGGTCACAGATGTGTTAGCACATACATTGAACTACTGTGCTATTGCATCTGATTGGTAGAATGTAGGTCACATGCTTGTATCCATGCATAAAGGAAGCTAGGAAATGGAATTCTGGCTTTTATCTGAGGAGGTGTGCATCAAAATATCTTTGTAAATATGGATGTTTCATAGCAACCACAAATATAATCAAGATTCTCTATAGGTTGGTTTGGCTTTTTTCAGTATTAGGATGAATGATGTGTATAATAATAAAGATCAAGCATATGGCATTTTTACCTTTGACCAATGGAACTATTCTAGAAACCAAGACATTTATTCTTACAACTTTACAATCCAGCTCTTTGTATTAGTCCGTTTTCATGCTGCTGATAAAAACATACCCGAGACTGGGCAATTTACAAAAGAAAGGGGTTTAATTGGACTTACAGTTCCACGTGGCTGGGAAGCCTCACAATCATGGTGGAAGGCAAGGAGGAGCAAGTCATATCTTACATGGATGGCAGCAGGCAAAGAAAGAGAAATCGTGCAGGGGAACTCCTCTTTCTAAAACCATCAGATCTCGTGAGTCTTATTCACTATCATGAAAACAGCACTATCATGAACCATGATTCAATTACCTCCCACCAGATCCCTCCCTCAACAAATACAAATTCAAGATGAGATTTGAGCGGGGAGACAGCCAAATCATACTAGTCTTGTTTTCCTCAAGTTACTTTAAGGAAACCAATTCAGAAAGTCTAGGTAGTTTATTCAGTTTTGAAGAAATAATAAGTGGCAGAGGACTTGATTCTACAACCTTCCTTGTTTTCCACTATGCCGTATTGGGAAGGAACAATTGCAATTTGAAATGGAAGTTGAAAATAAGCACAGTAAAAATAATAGGGAAGACAACAAAGAAAGGGGTTCAACTAGACAGATATGAAATATATGTCCAGAAATGTAAAGGTCTATTTCATAAAGCAACCAACTGAGTCTGTTCCTGCATATGCATATTCATGTGCACACACGTATACTTTACTGGAAATGATTGAGGAGTAGGGCCTTGCTCCGTCCATTTCACTGGTCGTGTAATGTTAAATGTTAAAATGAAGTCATTTGATAAATTTAAATTATCTAATACATTAATCTCTAGTTGAGATATTATCCCCACAGTTTTAATTTCAAGACAACTTTGTAGTGGGCTTTCATTTTTAAAGGACATTCCTCACAGTGGTCTTGGAGATGGGGTAGTAGCCTTTTGAAATACACTTAAATAATTGACTGCAGTAAAATATATAGTCCTTGGCTGGGTGCAGTAGCTCACGTCTGTAATCCCAGCACTTTGGAAGGCCGAGGTGGGTGGATCACGAGGTGAGGAGATCCAGACCATCTTGGCCAACATGGTGAAACCCCATCTCTACTAAAAATACAAAAATTAGCTGGGCGTGGTGGGGCAGGCCTGTAGTGCCAGCTAATGTGGAGGCTGAGGCAGGAGAATTGCTTGAACCCGGGAGGCAGGGGTTGCAGTAAGCCAAGATCGCACCACTGCACTGCAGCCTGGCGACAGAGTTAGGCTCTGTCTCAAAAAAAAGAAAATATATATATATATAGTCCTCAATACAAAGCATATATATTTTGCAAAAGATAATTGAAAAGGAAGATACTCTGACAAATGCTATTTTAAATAGATTTCTAAATGTTGAAGAGAAATAGTGCTAAGCAAAATTCCTGCTATTGTTACCTGCATATGGTTCTCAATTCTTTCCTCTCCTCTGATCCATGACCTTTGCCATGTGACTCTGCACTTCCTCCCATAAGAAGTGGAAAATATTTCTTTGTTCCATTGTGGATTGTCTGGAACATGTGACTTGCTTTGACAATACAATGTTAGCAGAAGTGCCAGGATCAAAGGCCTGAAATGTGTTTGTGCAACTGGATTTGTATTCTTGTGTGCCTAACTTTTCCCTTGAGTTTCAGATATGTTTCAGATAGCTGTTTGTCCAAGGAGAATGAGAGACATGTGAAACCAACCTGAACTTAACCTATAGTTTGGAGCCAAACCCAACAAACCCAGCCTAGGTCAGCTGAACTCCAGCCAACTGCAGATACGTAAGAGAGAAATAAATAAATATTATTGTGACTCACTGAGTTTTCTGGTAGTTTCTATCAAATGCAATAGTTTCATCACTTTTTTTTTTTTTTTAACAGTGGTACCTCCATCAATGAACAGAAACTTCTTTATAAAATATCTTGAAAATGCTGTTATGTCTCTCATTAAAAGCCTTATGACTTAGAGAGGGCAGAAAGTATTATCATCTTTATTTTACAGGAAAAAAATGGAAACTGAGGAAAGCGACTTACTCAAGACTAGTCAGTGGAGCCATATTTCAAAAATCAACTTTAATCTTCAAGTTTTTCTTTCAAAACCTACTATTTGTCAACTATCTGCATTATGTATATGGTACAAGTTTCTGCACCAAATCAACGACTGCTGTTAAATCTATACACACAACAAAATATTTAGTACAGTCAAATATACTTGGCTGCTCTAAAGAATGCTGAGGTATGCAATGTTGTGGTGGTTGACATGACCATCCCAAAATTAACTATCAGTATAAATGAGGTTATTGAATTTTCCCCACATTTCTAGCTTAACTGTTAATATTTATCACACGACTGAGGAGTGCATCTAAGAACTTACTTGAGGTCAGTCCTCTGGGATCTGCTTATTACATTTATTAAAAATATTGGAAATGTAATGCTCTGTTCTCATGCTGCAATAAATTCTTTGTGCTGTTAATCTGTATGAAAATATTTGGGTTTCTATTAACCTAACTGCAAGATTTCAGCCTACATTTTCTATCTGATTGGAAATAAGTCATGGGTTCAGATGGAATTTATATCTCAGAAAGGAGGTAGCTGTTGTTAAGAAGCAGAAAAATGAAAATATCATTCATTCCAAAACAGTTCTCTAAAATCACATGCACACTCAAACAATAGCCACTTTGCTTATTTCATTATAATGGCAATAAGCTCCAAAGCTTTAAGAAGAAAGATTTTCACTCTTGCATTGAAAACTGAGGTGCATTTGTGCATTGAGAGAGAAGTATATTATATTTTCAATGAGAAAATTATAGTTATGTCACTCACTTTGCAGTGAAAATTAGAATAAAATTAGAGGTAATTTGAAAGTCTTTCAGGAAAAGTTAATATGATGCTCAAATAATGTAGCCATGCTTAGCGTCAATCAGTGAATAGCTTATTTTCCTTAATTATAATTTTTTAAAGTAAGAAAGAAAGCCCACTTAATATGTCTATACATAGTTTAGCATTTAATCATACATTTTTGTAATTGGACCAACAGTTGTCCTCTATGAGTCAAAATGTTGAGTGATGTTTGGTTTTTAATGTTCTGGTAATGAGAAAGAGAAAGTTTTGAATAATGGAATGCCTTATATATAAAGTGAGTCATTTTTTTCTAATTCTTACCATATTAACAAATCTATAGGGTAGATTTTTAACAAGAATAAAATGCACTGGTGTTTTCAAGATATACTGAAAAATATAATAAAACATTTGTGGAACTGGAAATATAGAGTATTCTATAGGACTGAGGAGTAAGTTAATGTTATTAGAAACATAGAAATTTTCATCTGGGAAGGTCTTTAAAATTAATCAAATTTTATATTTTTATTTTACTGTGAAGAAACTGCACCAAAGTGATTAAGGTGACTTGACTGCTGTTCCACAATAGAAGTGATGCGTGTTCTCTCCAATATTTGACACAGTCTCTAAGCAGAGCATATTCTGCTATCTATGAGCTATTTTTCCAATACATGTTAAAAAAAGGAAATGCAGGCTGAAATTAATTAGATTCTACTTTCAGCTTGGTTTGATAAGGCTAAACATAGAAACCAGGCAAGGCAGGGAAAGAAGAAACAGATATCAAGGACTATCTAACTACCCTACATTTAGGTAATAAAATCCTAACAAGAGATGTTCATGAACAAGCTATGCAAAATGAAGAGCAACTCTTTGGAAGTACTAAGAAAGGAAGGCAGGAAAAATGACTGCAAGTAAGGGAAGAAAGAAATAGGAAAGGAAAGATGAAAAACCTGTTTTAGAAAAAAAACATAATCCCAAGGAAATAGAAGAAAAATTTACATAAGCGAAGTTTATATTATCTAGAAATGGGAAAGAACCTGAATATGAAACAAGAATAAAAGATTAAAGCAAATTAAACATAACACTTATACCCTTATGAAATATTAAATAAATGAGATACAGTAAGCAATGGAATCAGTAACTTAAAATTAAAAAATTAAGATTATATTTTAATGGTGAGACAAACAACAAAGACAGTAAAGCATTTGGAAAGATTAAATGTGTATGGAGAAGACACATCTATGATATTTTAACTCAGACCATTTCATACAAACTGCTATTATTAAGATGCTTCACATTGCAAAAGCTAAGTGTCAATTCCCAAGCCTCATATTACTTGATTATCAGCATCCCTTGACTCATGTAATCACTCACCCCCTATAAACGTCTCCCTTACTTGGCTTCCAGGAGACCCCACTTCCCTTGCTTTTCTCTTACTTCAATGGCATCTGTTTCCCAGTCTCATTGCTAGGTCCTCCTCATTTTCCCAGCTTCTTAATATGAAAGTGCCAGGGCTTAATCCTTGGACTTTTCATGCTCATCAAGTGATCTTACCTGGTTTCATGCCTTTAATTACCATCTAATTTTTAATTACCTCAAAATATATCTCCTTACTACAGATCTTAGTCCTTAATATCAGACTCATATATTAACCTTCCTGCTTGGTTTTTCATCTCAAAATTAGCATGTCTAAAACCAAGCTTTTAATATCCACTCTCCCCATTGCTTCCTTGAATGACTGTGTTTTCAAGCTAATAGCAATTCTACTATTCCTGTTGTTCTAGCCAAAAACTTGAAGTCATCCTTGATTTATTTTTTTCTCCCATATACCACATCCAGTCCATCAATCGATCTTGTTGTCTAAATCTTCAAACTATATACAGAAGCTCTTCTCCCCATCCTGGCCTAAGCTATTATTTTTTATTTACCATACGGGCCTAAGCTCTTATTTTTTATTTATTTATTTTATTTAATTTCTGGGATACATGTGCAGAATGTGCAGGTTTGTTACACAGGTACACGTGTGCCATGGTGGTTTGCTGCACCTATTAACCCATCATCTTGGTTCCCTCCCCTTGCCCCTAACCCTCAGCAGGCCCCAGTGTATGTTGTTCCCCTCCCTGGGTTCATGTGTTCTCATTGTTCAACTCCTACTTTTAAGTGAGAATATGTGGTGTTTGGTTTTCTGTTCCTATGTTGGTTTGCTGAGGATGATGGTTTCCAGCTTCATCCATCCAGCTTTGCCAGTCATCCCTGCAAAGAACATGATCTCATTCCTTTTTACAGCTGCATAGTATTCCATGGTGTATATGTACCATATTTTCTTTATTCAGTCTATCAGTGATGGGCATTTAAGTTGTTTCCATGTCTTTGCTATTGTGAATAGTGTTGCAATAAACATACATGTACATGTGTCTTTAGAGTAGAATAATTTATATTCCCTTGGGTATATACCCAGTAATGGGATTACTGGGTCAAATGGTATTTCTTGTTCTAGATCCTTGAGGAATAGCCACACTATCTTCCACCGTGGTTGAACTAATTTAGATTCCTACCAACAGTGTAAAAGCATTCCTGTTTCTCCACAACCTCACCAGCATCTTTTGTTTCTTGACTTTTTAATAATTGCCATTTTGACTGGCATGAGGTGGTATCTCACTGTGGTTTTGATTTGCATTTCTCTAATGATTAGTGATGTTGAGGTTTTTTTCATGTGTCTATTGACCATATACGTGTCTTTTGAAAAGTGTCTGTTCATATCCTTTGCCCATTTTTCGATGGGATTGTTTGTTCTTTTCTCATAAATTTAAGTTCCTTGTAGATTCTGGATATTAGACCTTTGTCAGATTGCAAAACTTTTCTCTCATTCAGTAGGTTGCCTGTTCACTCTGTTGATAGTTTCTTTTGCTGTGCAGAAGCTCTTTAGTTTATTTAGATCCCATTTGTCAATTTTAGCTTCTGTTGCAACTGCTTTGGCATTTTCATCATGAAATCCTTGCCCATGCCTATGTGCTGAATGGCATTGCCTGGGTTTTCTTCTAGGGTTTTTATGGTTTTGGGCTTTACATTTAAGTCTTTAATCCATCTTGAATTAAATTTTGTATAAAGTGTAAGGAAGTGGTCCAGTTTCAGTTTTCTGCTTATGGCTAGCCAGTTTTTCCAGCACCATTTATTAAATAGGGAATCCTTTCCCCATTGCTTGTTTTTGTCAAGTTTGTTGAAGATCAGATGGTTGTAGATGTGTGGTGTTATTTCTGAGGTCTCTGTTCTGTTCCATTGGTGTTTATGTCTGTTTGGGTACCAGCATCATGCTGTTTTGGTTACTGTAGCCTTGAGGTATAGGTTGAAGTGAGACAGCATGATGCCTTTAGCTTTGTTAATTTGGCTTAGGATTGTCTTCCCTATATGGGCTTTTATTTGTTCCATATGAAATGTAAAGAAGTTTTTTTTTCTAATTCTGTTAAGCATGTCAATGGCAGTTTGATGAGAATAGCATTGAATCTATAAATTATTTTGGGTAGTATGGTTATTTTCACAATATTGATTCTTCCTACCCATGAGGATGGAATGTTTTTCCATTTGTTTGTGTTCTGTTTTATTTCCTTGAGCAGTGGTTTGTAGTTCTCTTTGAAGAGGTCCTTCGTGTCCCTTGTTAGGTATATTCCTAGGTAATTTATTCTCTTTGTAGCAATTGTGGATAGGGGATCGTTCATGATTTGGCTCTCTGCTTGTCTATTTTTGGTATATGGGAATGCTTGTGATTTTTGCACATTGATTTTGTATCCTGAGACTTTGCTGGGGTTGCTTATCAGCTTAGGGAGTTTTTGGGCTGAGATGATTGGGTTTTCTAAACATAGAATCATGTCATCTGTAAACAGAGACAATTTGACTTCCTCTCTTCCTACTTGAATACCCTTTATTTCTTTCCCTTGCTTGATTGCCTTGGCCAGAAATTCCAGTACTATGTTGAATAGGAGTGGTGAGAGAAGGCATCCTTGTCTTGTGCCAGTTTTCAAAGGGAATGCTTCCAGCTTTTGCCCAATCAGTATGATATTGGCTGTGGGTTTGTCATAAACAGATGTTATTATTTTGAGTTATGTTCCATCAATACCTAGTTTGAGAGTTTTTAACATAAAGAGATGTTGAATTTTATCAAAAGCCTTTTCTGCATCTATTGAGATAATCATGCGGTTTTTGTCATTGGTTCTGTTTATGTGATGGATTACATTTATAGATTTGCATATGTTGAACCAGCCTTGCATCCCAGGGATGAAGCCAACTTGGTGGTGGTGGATAAGCTTTTTGATGTGCTGCTGGATTCAGTTTGCCCGTATTTTATTGAGGATTTTTGCGTTGGTATCCATCAAGGTTATTGGCCTAAAGTTTTGGGGGTTTTTTGTTGTGTCTCTGCCAAATTTTGGTGTCAGGATGATGCTGGCCTCATAAAATGAGTTAGGAAGGAGTCTCTCCTTTTCAATTGTTTTGAATAGTTTCAGAAGAAATGGTACTGGCTCCTCCTTATACCTCTGGTAGAATTCGGCTGTGAATCGATCTAGTCCTGGGCTTTTTTTGGTTGGTAGGCTATTAAACACTGCCTCAATTTCAGAACCTGTTATTGGTCTATTCAGGGATTCAACTTCTTCCTGGTTTAGTCTTGGGAGGTTGTGTGTGTCCAGGAATTTACCATTTCTTCTAGATTTTCTAGGTTATTTGCATAGAGGTGTTTCTAGCATTCTCTGATGTTAGTTTGTATTTCTGTAGGGTCAGTGGTGATATTCCCTTTATCATTTTTTATTGTGTCTATTTGATTCTTCTCTCTTTTCTTCTTTATTAGTCTAGCTTGCGGTCCGTCTATTTTGCTAATTTTTTTTCAAAAATCTAGCTCCTGGATTCATTGATTTTTTGAAGGATTTTTCGTATCTCTATCTCTGTGAGTTCTGCTCTGACCTTAGTTATTTATTGTCTTCTGCTAGCTTTTGGATTTGTTTGCTCTTGCTTCTCTAGTTCTTTCAATTGTGATGTTTTGGTGTCAAATTATGATCTTTCTAGCCTTCTGATAAGGGCATTTAGTGCTACAAATTTCCCTCTACACACTGATTTAGCTGTGTCCCAGAGATACTGGTAGGTTACCTCTTTGTTCTCATTCATTTCAAAGAACTTCTTGATTTCTGCCTTAATTTCGTTATTTATCCAGGAGTCATTCAGGTGCAGATTGTTGAATTTCCATGTAGTTGTGTATTTTTGAGTGAATTTCTTGTTTCTTTTCTTTTTTGCAACCTCTACCTCCTGGTTCAAGTGATTCTCCTGCCTCAGCCTCCCGAGTAGCTGTGAACAGGCACACACCTCCATGACCGGAAAATTTTTGTAATTTTTAGTAGAGATGGGGTTTCACCATGTTGGCCAGGATGGTCTTGATCTCTTGACCTCGTGATCCGCCTGCCTTGGCCTCCCAAAGTGCTGGGGTTACAGGTGTGAGCCACCATGCCCAGCCCCTTGAGTGAATTTCTTAATCGTGAGTACTAATTTGATTGCACTGTGGTCTGAGAGACTTTTTGTTATGATTTCAGTTCTTTTGCATTTGCTGAGGAATGTTTTACTTCCAATTATGCAGTTGATTTTAGAATAAGTGCCATGTAACACTGAGAAGAATGTATATTCTGTTGATTGGGGTGGAGAGTTCTGTAGATGTCTGTTAAGTCCACTTGATCCAGAGCTGAGTTCAAGTCTTGAATACCCTTGTTAATTTTCTGTCTCATTGATCTAACATTGACAGTGGGATGTTAAAGTCTCCCACTGTTATTGTTTGGGAGTCTAAGTCTCTTTGTAGGTCTGTAAGAGCTTGTTTTATGAATCTGGGTGTACTGTATTTGGTGCATATATATTCAGGATAGTTAGCTCTTCTTGTTGAATTGATCCCTTTACCATTATGTGATGCCATTCTTTGTCTTTTTTGATCTTTGCTAGTTTAAAGTCTGTTTTGTCAGAGACTAGGATTGTGACGCCTTTTTTTTCTTTCTATTTGCTTGGTAAATTTTCCTCCCCATCCATTTATTTTGAGCCTATGTATGTCTTTGCACATGAGATGGGTCTCCTGAATATAGCACACTGATGGGTCTTGAGTCTTTATCCAATATGCTGGTCTGTGTCTTTTAATTGGGGCATTTAGCCCATTTACATTTAAGGTTAATATTGTTATGTGTGAATTTGATTCTGTCATCATAATGTTATCTGGTTGTTTTGCATACTAGTTGATGCAGTTTCTTCATAGTGTTATCTCTCTTTATATTTTGGTGTGTTTTTGCAGTGGCTGGAACGGGTTTTTCCTTTCCATATTTAGTGCTTCCTTTAGGAGCTCTTGCAAGGCAGGCCTGGTGGTGACAAAATCCTCAGCATTTGCTTGTCTGATAAGGATTTTATTTCTCCTTCACTTATGAAGTTTAGTTTGGCCGGATATGAAATTCTGGCTTTAAACTTCTTTTCTTTAAGGATGTTGAATATTGGCCTCCACTTTCTTCTTGGGCCTAAGTCATTATTATCTTTTACCTGGATTATGCCAATAAATTCCCAACTGCTTGTCTCAATGCCAGAGTGGCAAATGCAAGTGAGTGTTAAAACACAAGTCAGATCATGTCACCCCTAGGTTCAAAACTCTCCAGTACATTCGCATGTCATTCAGATTGAAAGCCAGCATTCTTACTAGGACCTTTAAATTGCTTTGTGATCAGCTTTCCGCTTCTACCCCATTACCTCTGACTTTATCACATATTACTCATAGCCTCAATTGCTAAGCTCCAGACACACAGCATTCTCACTGCTTCTTGAATATTAGAGATAGTCTTCTGCCTCAAGTACCTACAGTTTAGCTTCTTTCCTTGTTTAGAATATTTTTCTCTTACATATTCACACATCACATTCAGAAATATCCAGTTCTCCATTTTTTTTCTCAGCCAATGGAGGTGACACATCCCAGGGCCTTTGAAATTTTGGGGGGCCATGTGACTAGTTATAGGAACAAAAAGGGATGTCACTTATGGAATGAGCCAGGATGCTCTTATCTCTCTCTTATCTGGCTGTGGTAAATATGGAAATGTGTTCATTTGGGGAAGTGACAAGATTGCAGAATTCATAACCAAAGAAAACATAGACTAAACATCTTATAAAGCAGACACCACAGGAGGCATTGTAAATAGAATTCAGCATCAGGAATTAGGTGCTAGAGGATCAACAGACAGAAGAGACCACTGCTAGCTTTGAGGCTCAACACAGCCACTGTGGTATTAATAAGAAAGAAATTGCTGCAACTGCACTAGACAGAACTGTGAGGAACTACCTCTGAAATCACAGATGCCCTGCAGCAATGGGGCAGGTTTCCTGCAGGGAAACACATAAAGGCTTCTGCAAACCCTCAGATTTTCAGGAGTTCACACAACCGTTATTACTTTTAGAAAATGGCTTTGACTCCTGTTTTTCTATAAGTTCTTTTGAGAGTGTATTTTCTTGGCAAAATGTGGCAGAATCTAGATTAGAAACAAGGGAGTCTGAGAAATGTAGATCTCACATTTACAACCCATCAAAAGAGAGAAGGCAAGAAAGGGATAGCGTTTCCCAGAAAGAAAAAGTAGCATAGTTCCCTATGTAGGCTACTCAGCATCTATATTCTAACCACAAAATAGTGCCCTCCCCTCCACTTATCTGCAGTTTTGCATTCTGCAGTTTCAGTTATCCATGGTCAACTGCAGTCCAAACGTATTTTGATTGATAGAGAAGAGAGAGAATGACTACATATGCATAACTTATATTACAACATATTGTTGTAATTACTCTATTTTATTAGTAGTACTATTGGTAATCTCTTATTGTGCCTAATTTATAAACTAAACTTTATTATAGACATGTATGTATAGGAAAAAACTTAGTAGGTGTGATGGTTAATATTGAGTGTCAATTTGATTGGATTGAAGCATACAATGTATTGTTCCCAGGTATGTCTGTGAGGGTGTTACCAAAGGAGATTAATATTTGAGTCAGTGGACTGAGAGAGGCAGACTCATCCTCATTCTAGGTGGGCACCATCTAATCAGCTGCCAGGTTGGCTAGAATAAAGCAGGCAGGAGAAGATGGAAGAACAGACTTGCTAAGTCTTCTGGCCTTCATCTTTCTCCCATGCTGGATGCTTCCTGCCCTCCAACATCAGACTCCGGTTTCTTCAGCTTTTGGACTCTTGGACTTACACCAGTAGTTTGCTAGGGGCTCTTGGGCCTTTGGCGACAGACTGAAGGTTGCACTGTCGGCTTCCCTACTTTTGAAGTTTTGGGACTCGGACTGACTTCCTTGCTCCTCAGCTTGCAGATGGCCTATTGTGGGACTTTACCTTGTGATTGTGTGTATCAATACTCCTTAATAAACTCCCCTTTATATATACGTCTATCCTATTGGTTCTGTCCCTCTAGAGAACCCTGACTAATAGAGTAGGTAGAGGATTCAATACTATCTGTGGTTTCAGGCATCCACTGGGGGTTTTAAAACATATCTTCTGTGGATAGGAGGGTATACTCCATTATCCTTGCAAAACAAAAATTATCTAGAGCAATGTGTTTCTGCCTAACATCATACAGTTAACTCTTGTAAAATAAAAATGTGCTTACTTCTTCAAAAAGAGACTCCAATATCATCCTCTGTGTAATGTTTATTCCTTCCAATTTAGTTAATCAACATTTATAAAAATATAATTTAATCTATAGATTAAATCAACAATAACTTTATTAAAATGTTAGGGAGAGAATACCCACTACTGATTTCCTCCTTTCTGAAAGTGAAATTGGTCATAAAGCCATAACGTATAGTTATATCTTCTCTCCTCTACATGTATTTAGGGTGTCCTTAACCTTTCATCCATCAATTCCGCTGATCATGCTTCTTACTTAATGGGCTAAATCAAATAATCATTCCTGAAATATTAGAGCTTGTTGTAGACCTGCCCATATGTGGTTGCTGTGCAGAAGAGAGGTAATCTATCAGACCTAAAACTTAGAAAGACTTACATTTAGAAAGGCCTGTTTGCAAGTTAGGCCCTTGACTAGTATCTATAAACTTGTATTTTTGAGAGGGTTCCCACCATTCCCTGATAAGAGTGAGTCACTTTGCCTAAACTATTTGTATAAACAATGTTGTTTATGCTGAATATCTAATTTCCTCTGGGAGTCTAGAATTTTGACACATGCCTACATGGTCCCTAAGTGAAAAGCTCCCAATTAAATCCCTGGGCACTGAGTCTCTGTTGAGCTTCCCCAGTAGGCAATATGTTACAGGTGTTGTTATAACTTGTCATTAGAAGACTTTAGTTTATCTTTGTTACTTACTGGGAGAAGTCACTTGGAAACTTGTGCCTGGTTTTCTTTGGACTTCATTCCATGTACCTGTTCCGCTTTGCTGATTTTTCCTTGTATCTTTTTGTTATAATAAATCATATCTGTAAGTAAAACTATATGCTGAGTCCTATATATTATCCTAGCAATTCATTGAATCTGGGGGTTGTTTTGGGGGCTCCCATACCAGTAGCTGTAATATTTCCTTAGTTTTAAAACATACATTTTAAAACTTTATTGTCCGGACATAGTATCTTAGACATTCCCTTCACATAGAAGTGGAGAACAGATTTGTAAAAATTCTCTCATCTTTCATTTTTATTTAAAATTTTTTTACTTAAGCAAATCAAATTTGAAGATGCAACTCAATGCTTTCTACCAAATATGTGCAACTCTCCCAGAACAAAATATTGAATATTTCTAACACCATAGATGGTTTTCTCATGTATCATTCTATCAAGACTCTCCCAAAGGTAAACACTATTCTGATTTCTAACACCATAAATTAGTTGTGTCTGTTCCTAAAAGTCATGAAAATTGAATCATACATATGTCCTGTTTTGTGCCTGGCTTCTTTCATTCATTATATCTGTGAGATTTATCTATGTTATTATGTATAGTACTAGTTTTTTCAATTGCTATATTTCATCATACATAATTAACCAGTCCTGAACTTTTTAGTTGTTCTATCAATTGATCATTGGAAATTCTTCATGATGTAATACATGTAGTTTGAGAGAATAGGCAAAATAATGAACATAGATCCATGGATTCCTAGAGTCACCTATGCATACGGCCTCCTTGTACCTTGTGAAAGAAAAATAAACTCTCAGCACCCCAAACTCGCTAGGCCGAAGGGAAAGTTAAACTTCGTAACTGAGTTACCCAAAGAAAGTACCTTCCATTTGTTCCCAAACAGATAGCAGTAATTTCACGATTGCTTTTTTGTTTGTTTGTTTTTGGGATGGAGTCTCACTCTGTTCCCCAGGCTGGAGTGCAGTGGCATGATCTTGGCTCACTGCCAGCTCTGCCTCCCGGGTTCACGCCATTCTCCTGCTTCAGCCTCCCAAGTAGCTGGAACTACAGGTGCCCGCCACCACGCCCGGCTAATTTTTTTTTGTAATTTTAGTACAGACAGGGTTTCACCAGGATGGTCTTGATCTCCTGACCTCATGATCCGCCCACCTCGGCCTCCCAAAGTGCTGGGATTACAGGAGTGAGCCACCGCGCCCAGCCGATTGCTTTATTAGATGTAAAATATAGATTTACTGAGCGTGAGATGAATGCATAACTGCCTTTCCCCCAAACTCCCTTCTTTCTACATGTAAAATGTGGATTCACTGAATAGAGCTAATCAAAGCCTCACAAGAATGTAACCACTTGGCTCATCACGTACTCTCTCTCCCCTTTTTCCCCCTTATCCTCCTGCTTGCCCTTTCTCCTCTAAATATTGAAGTTCCCAAAACCTTCTTTGGAAAAAGTACAGGCCACGCATTCTATTGTAACGTGTGTTTTTCCCCCGAGTCACATTCTTAACCTTGGCAAAATAAACCTTTAAATCAATTGAGATCTGCCTCAGTCACTTTTTGGTTTACAACCTATAGATCCCGCTTAGCCCAATTTAAGATGCATGTGATGCAGCAGTACTGCTATATACACCTAATTTTATGATTTGATAAGAAGGGTAAAACCCATTGACAATAGACTTCTCATATCTCCTAGATCCCAGGGCTAAATCCGAATACGATTCACAAAAAGAGTAGTTAGTCAAAGAAGCAGCCATGACTTTTCTCAAAATTCAAAAGTCTGTATTGTGATTCTACCATTGGGGCTTGCAAGAAATCATAGACAGCACTCCTAACTGCCACATAAATTTCAAGTACCAGAGATCTGCCGGATTAGACTATTCCAGTGCAGAGTAACCTATACTCTCTCTGGGACCAGCTTCAGAGTCTTTTCTTTCTCTGGGATGCTCTCAAAGCTGGATTAAATATGAAATGTATTGTAGAACACATTTGGTTCTGCTATATATTGCCTCTAGTATTAAAAAGTCCCACAAAGATTTGAGCCTTTTTTTAATGTTGGGAGAACAATGTGAAATATTGGTTTTCATTTGGAAGTAATAACTCAGCATAAGCCTTTTATCTGGATTTCTAGAAACCTCCCCACAATAGCAACCCCATGAGTTTTCATGAGTCTTACTCTTCTCCACTCTCTGGTACATGAGTCTTATGAAGGCATCCAGGAAACCTGTTCATTTTCAAATAACAAAATAACATCAATATAGTGGATAATATATATGCCCTCAATATATGTGGAATGACAAGTTGATCAAGGTTGCTGTGTACTAGATTAAAACAAAGAACCAGAGGTAAGGCAATGAAAGTATGCTACTGCACTGCTAGATGAAAGCAAATCGCTTCTGGTGGCCATTGCTAATCAATAGAAAAAAATAGCTTTCACCAGATCAATAACTGTCTAACAGGAACTAGAGCCTGAGTTGATTTATTCCAACTAAAGAAACAATATCTGGAAATAGCAACAACTGGAGTCAAGACATGATTAATTTTACGATAACACACCGGCAGTTTCCAAGACCTGTTTGTCTTCTCTACTGACCAAAAGGAATAATCACATATATGTATCTTTCAAGTCTTTAAAGATGGCACCAATTTCTATGATATTTGCAGGGATTCATTATTGTTTTTTTAAATTATACATAATTGGAATGCTCTTAAGTGTATGGCTTGACAAAATTTTAAGAACAAACACAAAATGTAACCAGCTTCCAAGTAAACAGAACAGTACTAGTGTCTCAGAAACCCCCTTTACGATCCCTTCTAGTCACTACCAACCCCAAGGGTGAACCCTAGCCTCATTTCTAACAATATGTTTATATAATTTATACCAAAGGAATAATGTAGTATTTACTTCTTTGTGCTTGTTTCATTTGCTCAATATTGTATTTGTGAGATTCATCCCTATCATTGTGTGTGGAGATATAGATTGTTCATTTCCATACACATGTGGCATAGTATTCCATTATATAAACATATTACATGTCATTTAGCCAATGTTCTCCAAAATGGTGTTTGGGCTGTTTCCATCTTTACCCAATTCACACAATACTGCTTTATACATTATAATCCATGTTTTTTTAAGAATATCAGTACGGATTTCTGTTGAGCATATTCCCAGGAATAAAATTTTTTACAAAGCATGTATATATATTTATTTATTGCCAAAAATTGTTTCCCAAAGTGACTGTGCCAATTTTCAATACCACCAGTAGTGTATTGAGTTCTAGTTGCTTCACATCCTTAACAAAATTTATTTTCTATTTTTTCACTTATAGACCTTCTGGTATGTGTATAGTGGGATCATATTGTGGTTTTCAGATAACAAATAAAATTGAGGGTTTTTTTCTTGTGTTTATTCGTCTTTTGGCTAATTTTTTCATTAAGTGGCTATTAAGCCTTTTGCCCATTTTTTTCACTAATGGTTATCTTTTTCAGGTTGACACATAGGAATTTTTATACATTCTTGTTACAAGTTCTTTATTAGAAAAAAAGGATCAAAATATATTCTGACACTGTCAGTGGACTTAAAAGCTTTTAATGAAGCATCATATGCATAGGGAAAGGAGCATACATCAAAAGCCTACTAATTGTCCACATACTGAATATGACCATGTAAATAGTACCTAGATCAAGAAAAAGCATCCTGCATATCCCTCACACTGTCTTGCAGTCTCTCTCTCCGGCAAAGGTAAATAATTCTGATTTCCAGCAAAAAATATTTTTGTCAGTTTTTATACTTTATATAAGTGAAAATATATAATACATAATATTTTGTCTCTGACTTACTTGCCTCAACATTATGTTCAGAGATTTATTCATAAAATTGGGCATAGTTGCAGATTGGTCAATTCCATTGCTTATAGTACTCCACAAGCAATACTACAAGACATGAAATGTAAATATACCAAAGGAGTGGAAAGCTGGTCAATCACGATTGAGCTGGATCAGGGCTGGTTTACAAGTGCAGTAAGACCATTCAAGTCTGGTCTACCCATTTTCTCAGGCATTACTCTCGTGGACATTTGACTGAGAGCTTAATGGATTGTTTGCTCTCTTTAGCCCTGAAAGCCTGTAGGACCCTCTTACAGGTCTGGAGGGTATTATTCTACCGTTCAGGTGTTTTCATGTTAGGTCTTTAGCATCCTGCAGTATATGTCTGCAAATTTTGGCAATGTCTTAAAAGGAAGCCAAGCCTGTTTTTGAGACTGGGTTCCTTTTTTAGGGGAATATTTGTTTCTCATTCACCACAACACCATGAGAGATTTGTATCTGTATTTTAAAAGCTCTTATTGCATGGGATTTCTGCACCAAAGATGTTCATTAAGTATTCAGGAACTAAAGAAAGAGTCACACACAGTTGTGGGGATGTGTTAAGTCCACTGTAAGATAAGTTAGTCTATAAATCTATCATCTGACCTTTGTAAGTCCCCATCACTCTGGTAGACCAGGGTAGCATTTGGGGTACCTCCTGGTCATAATTTTTAAGGTCGTACCCAGCAAATTACTTCAAGCTTTAAACTGAGATTCTTGAAGACAGAAACAGACCATCTCTCACAAATCTTGAACCCAGCTTCAAACCGTGCTTATTCTGTATTGGATCAGAGAGGCTTGACTATAAATACCAGCATGAAGACAGTTAAATATTTTTGAAGAAAGATAGCATCATCAAATCCTCTACGAATTTTTCAAAACAATATCCAGCACTTATCAGGTATTTCAGGAAATAGTATAAGTAGCAAATAACAAGAGTATAAGTAGACAATTGAAAGGCACAGAATATCTCAGTAATATATTCAGGAACTATGTGAAAATTTGATGTATTTCAAAGAGATGAAATCTATAAGGAAAGAATCAAATGAGCACAGTAGATTTGAAAAATACAACTGCTGAAATTAAAAGATTCAATAGATAGCTTTAATTGTAGATTTTACAGATCAGAAAACAGAATTAGAAAACTGCAAGGCAGGTCAATCTAACAAATCCATACTGAAGCATAAATTGTAAAGAGGATAAAAATGGTTTAAAAGGCCCAGTACATGTTAATTACAGCGACAACAAAAGAGAGAGGGAATAAGACAAAAGAAGTCTGAAGAGATACAAAATGAATGTCCCTTTTAGAAAAAAACAGATTCAAGATTCTCCATGAAAACTAAGCCCACCACCATTCCCGCTCCTCACAACACACATCTAAGCAAACTGTGGAAAAACTGGCAGAAATCAAAGACAAAGTGAAAGTCTTGAAGAGTCAGGGAAAAACCACATATCATCTACAAAGGAAAAACATTAAGTATGATCGCTGACTTCATTAGGAATTATATAAAGGAAGAATCATTGGAATCACATATTTAAAAGGCTGAAAGATATGAAACTACCTGACACCACAAACAAAAATCTAATTCATAGTGTTATAGATTTAAATTTGAAGAACAAAATGTGAAATATTGCTAGAAGATAAAAAAGTATATCTTCGTGATTTTGAATTAGACAAACACTTATTAAACGGGATTTATTAAAGGCAAACCACAGAATGGGAAATGCTATTTCTAATAATTATAACCAGCAAAGTACTTATGTCTAGAATAGATTTTATAAAGAATGCCTTCAAATCCAGTAGAAACATATAGATAATATGTAAAAGGACTAAGTAATAGAATAGATCCAAATAGCCTAGTATATGACAATGTGCTTAATCTTATATATCATGTGGAAAATACAAATTAAATCCATATTATTCGACATACACATCTGAATGAAAATGGGAATACAAAGTTTTGGCATGAATGTGGATTAACTGATATTTCATACCAGTAACATTTCTACCACTGGTAGGAAGATTAATTGGTTCATTAACATCAGAAAATGGTTTAGCAATATCTACTAACGCTAAACACACACACACACACACACACACACACACATACACACGCGGTTTAGCAATATCTACTAATGCTGAACACACACACACACACACACACACACACACACACACACACACACCCCTACCTCTACCTATGACCTAACAGTTGCACTTTCGGTATATACGCAACAGGAACTCAGCAGAAGTTCACCAAAATACATGCTCAAGAAAGGTAACAACAATAATATTGATAACAGACACTAAAACTGGGAACAACCTAAATATTCATCAAGATAAAACAATACATTGTATTACATCTATAAAATTGAACACAAGTCAGTAAAAGGTAAACAAACCACTGCTACATGTAACAACATGAATGCATGTTACAAACAAGTTTAATGAAGAAGCCAGATATAAATAAGTAACATAATGTGTGATTCCTTTTACTTGAAGTTCAATATCAGCAAACCTTATCTATGGATAGACAAGGCAGAATTTTAGAATTTTAGACCTACCTTTGGGTGATAATGACTCAAAGAACAAGAGAAAAACCTATGTTGTAATACTATATATCTTAATCTGAAGAATATACAGATATGTTCACTAAGTAAAATTTCACTGAACTATACACTATATACTAATGATGTGTGTACTTTCTGGAAACATATTTCAAAAGAGGCTTTACTAAAATATCTTATTTTAAAATATTAAGTAGTAAAAGTATTTAGTGATATTGAGAGTCTAATAACTTGGAAAAGTCACACAGAACATAATAGCCTCTGAAGCTATTCATGTTCTATGAAAGTTTTCTCCCAAAAGAAGTTTCTAAGTCCAGATTTGCAAACTTTTTCTGTAAAAGACCAAGTAGTAAATATTTTAGGTTTTGTAGGTCACACAGTCTCTTACAACTACTCAACTTTGCCACTGTAGTTTATAGCAGCCATCGACCATACGTAAATGAATAGATGTGGCTATGTTCCAATAAAATTTTATTTATAAAAAACAGGAAGTAGACCATGATTTGCTGACCTCTATTCTAAGTTAAAGTTAACAACCTAAATATAATTTGAGAATTTTACTGAAATTAACAGCAACAATAACTGTGTAGTTACTTTGGCATATTAGCAATATTTGAGGTTAATGCCAGTATTTACTTGTTTCCTATGGTATTCCTGTAAATATGAAATATTGAATATTATTAATTTTCATAAATTAAAATGTGAAAGGCTAGATCTAAAGAAAATACCACAAACTGTCTTTTATTGCTACTTTCTTTCTTTATTTTTGGTAACTTGGTAAGGCAGTCTGAAATCTTTAATTCCTAAAGGTACTTACATTTGGGAGCTGACAGAAGGCTTCGTCAATATAGGCTAAATCATCATTTCCTTTTGATAGGATTGGTGTATTCCACTTGGATCTATGTTATTGTACAAAAGAGTTATTGAAGCTCCCTCAGGATCATAGATTTATTAAATTACTATTAATTGTTATACTTGTGAAAACACTGTACTGACATGAATAAGTGACAGGCTAAATAAAAAATTTTAAAAGGTGGAAAAGAAATTAAATGCTTTCTACGGAAGAGATAAATATTTACTCTTCTATTCAAATAAACACAATCAGAAATGACAAGGAGGATATTACCACTGACTCCACAGAAATATAAACACCATCAGAGAATATCATGAACATCTAGTTTATGCATATAAACTAGAAAATCTAGAAGAAATGGCTTAATTCCTGGGTACATACATTCCTCCCTAGACTGAACCAGGAAGTAATTGAATCCCTGAACAGACCAATAACGAGCTCTGAAACTGAGCAGTGTTAAATAGCTTATCAACCAAAAAAAGCCCAGGGCCAGATGGATTCACAGCTGAATTCTATCAGGTGTACAAAGAAGAGCTGGTACCATTGCTACAGAAACTATTTCAAAAAATTGAGGAGGAGGGACTCCTCCCTAACTCATTTGATGAGAACAGCATCATCCTAATACCAAACTGGCAGAGACACACACACACAAAAATAAAACTTCAGGCCGATATCCTTGATAAACTTCAATGTAAAAAATCCTGTGCAAAATACTGGCAAACCAAATTCAGCAACCCATCAAAAGGCTTATCCACCATGATCAAGTAGGCTTTATCCCTGGATGCAAGGTTGGCTTAACATATGCAAATCAATAAATGTGATTCATCACAAAAACAGAACTAAAGACAAAAATCACATAATTATCTCAATAGATGCAGAAAAAGCTTTTGATAAAATTGAACATCCATTCATGCTAAAAACTCTCAATAAGCTAGGTATTAAAGGGAACATAGTCAACATAATATGAACCATATATGACAAACTCGCAGCTAACATCATACTGAATGGGCAAAAGCTGGAAGCAGTCCCCTTGAAAACCTGCACAAGACCAGGATGCCCTCTCTCACCACTCCTATTCAACATAGTATTGTATGTCCTGGCCGGGGCAACCAGACAAGAGAAATAAATAAAGAGCATTCAAATAGGGAGAGAAAATGTCAAACTATTCCTGTTTGTGGACAACGTGTTCCTATATCTAGAAAAACCCATAGTCTGAGCCCCAAAGCTTCTTAAGCTGATAAACAACTTCAGCAAAGTCTCAGGATACAAAATCAATGTGCAAAAATCACTAACATGCCTTGACAACAGTCAAGTTGAGAGCCAAATCGGGAATGAACTAGCATTCACAGTTGCCACAAAAATAATAAAATACCTAGGAATACAGCTAACTAGGGAGGTGAAAGTTCTCTTCAAGGAGAACTACAAACCACTGCTCAAAGAAATCACAGATGACACAAACAAATGGAAAAACTTTCCATGCTCCTCGATAGGAAGAATCAATATTGTGAAAATGGTCATACTGCCCAAAGCAATGTGTAGATTTAATGCTATGCCTATTAAACTACCATTGACATTCTTCACAGAACTAGAAAAAAAATCATTTTAAAATTCATAGGGAACCAAAAAAAGAGCCCGAACAGCCAAGGAAATCCTAAGCAAAAAGAATAAAGCTGGAGACATCATGCTAACTGACTTCAAATTATACTACAGGGCTACAGTAACTGAAACAGCGTGGTACTGGTACAAAAACAGACACACAGACCAATGGAGCAGAACAGAGAACCCAGAAATAAGACCGCACACTTCTAACTGTCTGATCTTTGACAAACCTGACAAAAACAAGCAATGAGGAAGGTATTCCTTGTTCAATAAATGCTGCTGACTAGCTATATGCAGAAAATTGAAACCGGTCCCCTTCCTTATACCTTATAAAGATGAATTGAAAACTTAAATGTAAAACCCCAAACCATAAAAACCTTAGAAGACAAACTAGGCAATACCATTCAGGGCATAAGCACGGGCAACGATATCCTGATGAAATTGCCAAAAGCAATTGCAACAAAAGCAAAAATTGACAAATGGGGTCTAATTAAACTGAAGAGCTTCTGCACAGCAAAAGAAACTATCCACAGAGTAACCAGGCAACATACACAATGGGAGATAATTTTTGCAAACTATGCATCCAACACAGGTCTAATATCCAGCATCTATAAGGAACTTAAACAAATTTACAAGAAAAAAATAAACAACCCCATTTAAAATGAGCAAAAGACATAAACAGTCACTTTTCAAAAGAAGACTTACATGTGGCCAACAATCATATGGAAAAACCTCAACTTCACTGATCATTAGAGAAATGCAAATCAAAACCACAATGAGATATCATCTCACACTACTCAGAATGGTTATTATTAAAAAGTCAAAAGATAGCAGATGCTGTTGAGGTTTTGGAGAAAAAGGAGTATACAAGAAAAAACTTGTATACTGTTGGTGGGAATGTAATTTAGTTCAACCATTGCAGAAGACAGTGTGGCAATTCCTCAAAGACCTAAAGACAGAAATACAATTTGACCCAACTATCCACTGGGTATATACCCAAAGGAATATAAATCATTCTACTATAAAGAGGCGTGCACACATATGTTCATTGCAGCACTATTCACAATAGCGAAGACATGGAATCAACTTAAATGATAGCCCAGTAATGATAGACTGGATAAAGAAAATGTGATACATAAACATCATGGATACTATGCAGCCTTAAAAAAAAAAGAGCTCATATCCTTTGCAGGGACATGAATGGAGCTGGAGGCCATTATCCTTAGCAAACTAACACAGGAACGGAAATACAAATCCTGCGTGTTCACACTCACAATTGGGAGCCAAATTATGAGAACACAAGGAAACATAGAGGGGAACAACACACAATGGGGCCTTTTGGAAGATGGAGGGTGGGAGGCAGTAGAGGATCAGGAAAAATAACTAATGGATACTAGGCTTAATACCTGGGTGATGAAATAATGTGTACAACAAGCCCCCAAGACACAAGTTTAGCTATATAACAAACCTGCACATGTACCCCTGAACTTAAAATAAAAGTTAAAAAAAATTTAAAAAACAGAAAAAACTTCTTCTGACACCATCAACAAGGAAATCAATCAGGAATAAACACATAATTTGAGAGAATCATTGTGGCCAAATAAATGTGTATTCTACTGGTATTTCACATCACCTGACACCATTGCCCATGGCTAAATGCTTAATGGACCTCCCTGATATTCAAGTTAAATATTTTAATATGCAATGTGACGTGACTCCTAGGCAGAAAAAAAATAGTTACATTACTCCTATTGTAGCATATAGCTGGAATAAAATACTGTTTTTTCTTATGAAGCAATGAAGAGCTCATACATAATGACAGTTAGAGGAGGCAAAATATAGACACAGTAACCCAGAAAACTATTATGGAAATAGGCTAGGAACAATATGGAAATAACATAAAGAAAACATAAAAATTCATACCAACAATTGTCATAACAAATTTCACTCTTCTACTAATCTCACTTGTTATGTATTATTCACATCAAACTATAATTTCTCCCAGGCTACCTGTAAAATGATGTAGGATCTTTTAAATAAATACATTGACTATTCCCATGGCCTGGGATATATATATATATATATATATTATTATGAAGAGGAAATACTGATATAGGACTTTAGTGAGAGCTGCTAATTTCCCTGAAATTCCCATCAGGTGATTTTTTAATGCTGACTTCCAGTTGCTGAAGGACAGTGATAGCTGGAGGTGAGAGGTAATTGTTTCTTGTCACACACGTTTATCCATTTATTTGCTTCTTTCTGCCATCACTGGTTTAAAATGAAAACACAAAAGTTCCTAGGAAATATCAAAGCATTTACTGTTGAAGCTAGACAGATCCTAGAAGAAGTAGTTACTCCCAAAAGATTAGAAATGATGGAAACTGGCAAAAGATATTTTCACCATTTAGTTCAAAGCCTATGTTAGCAGATTGTATCCAGGGGCAGAGAGAGCCTCCTTGGGACTCAGAACAATTTGAGAGGCATCAAAAGTCCAAGGGCATTTCCCTCACTAGCCTTCACGTTAATCTCATCTACTCATTTCTTCCAATAAAATATGTCGTCTTAGATATCTAACACTTAAGAATCATAATGGATTTAAATTATAACAAACATAAGACATCATGTAGTACAATTAATCCCCTCAAAAACACTGAAAAGTTGTTGAGATGAAGTTAACCTTGAACTTTCTCAAGATAAAATTTTTAAAGTGAGGTTTTTCCATTTACGTATATGCAAACCACAATTTTTTATAAAAAAATTTGTTGAGCTAAAATCTGCTTTTCTAAATTCCATTCACTGATAATAATAACTTATAATTATTGGCCATTTTATTATGTGCTAGGCACTGCGTCTAGCACTTTGCCTGTATTATTCATTTTAATACTTCCAATCACTTTATGAAGTGCTGGAAACTGAAGGATGAGAGTTAAATCACTTGTTCAAATTTCACATAACTGTGGAATGTGATGGCCAAGATTTGAACCCAAGTTTTTCTGACATCAGAGCTCGAACATTAGTTATGTGCCATATATCTACCTGATCTGCATACAATCCTTTTAAGGATCTTAGTCAATGGAGCCGCATCATATTTCTGCTTCAGGTATTCTCAATTTTGTTTTTCCTTTTTTTTCCTAATCATTCACCTGGATTTCATAACATCCTTCTTTACATTTGTAAAAGATCTCTACATTTAGAAACAATCACTATAATAATCCAGATGCATTCTAATCCATTTAGCATCCAGAAAGGTGTGCCCTGTCTGCTAGTCACTTCATTTCTAATTAAACTAAATAAAACAAGTAAATCTTGTTACTTTAGAATACTTAAGCCATGTGGTTTAGCCATTACATTTTCTGTAGTTAGGTGTATGTGTTAGGACCAAGAGGAGGATTTAACTTTTTGTCCAAATAGATTTCATATTATCATAAACATCAAATAATTTTGATCTACTAAATATTTCAAGATAACAACTAAGCCATCAAGTATGCTACACTATCTATTCATGTGCAAATTTCATGACAAAGTCGCTTGTGCTCTTATGTAATCATTGATGAAAATGTTGAATATTCTTTTCCAAGGAACTACATTATCTGTTTTAGATTTATTTATGTGAGAGCAGGTGTTATGACTGTCTTGTGAGGATAGAAAAGTGTGCACAGTTTGCAGAGGGAGTGATATATGCACGTGAATAAATTAAGTAAACAGTTGGAAGCCTGAGCTGGAGTTCAAGAAGAAAGGCTTCTGTAAGATATTGATTTAGGAATCTGTGTAAACTTGATGGCCAAAGTTACATGATAGGGGAATGACAGTAAAATAAGAGGAAAATACGACTACGATATTACAGAAGACGTCTGGGTAATCGAAATCAGCAGGAGGATTTAAAGAAAAGAAATTGGAGACTGAAAAAAGGGAGTTGTAACCCTTTCAACTGATAGAAAAATGCCATAAATATGACAGAAGAGCAAAGTATACAGGAATAAATAATTTATGGGGCATCTATGGGCAAGCCACCAAACATGTACTCAGGTGATCTCAACAAAATTCTCCAAAGTCAAATAGCACATGGTGCATAGTAGTGTACAGTATATGCCACGACATTGAACGTTCAGGACAATACTTAGTTGCCAGCGCAAGAACTGTGATAGCTTTACTCAATAGAAAGATTCACACCATCTATGCTTGGTACATAGGAGAAACAGCTTAAAGATGGTAATCAAGAATAATCTCCCGAAACTGAGTATTGAGTGATAGTAAATTTCTTGTGCGTATTTCTGTAAGAACTCTGTGCTCTGTAGCATATTAAGCCTAAAACATTTTCTCTTGTGTAGCAAAACTCAACGCTATGCCTTTGGTGCTTATGTTTTAAATCAGAACTATTTGAATGAGGCTATTCCCCATGGCCACTGCGGGGGAAAATAATGCTGATAAAAAAGAGTGTTTTTAAACAGGATTCTGAAAACAGAAGACACACGCAAAGTGTCAGATAATGAGTGATAAAGGGGAAGAATGAGGAAAGAGAGATAGCAAAAGACTTCTCTGAGGAGAGAGATACTGACAGGAAATTGGTGTGATAGCATAAAGAGAAAAGTTTGGTTGTCTTTCTGTTGCTTTTTAAAATTCTGTTCATGTCTTTTAATGATAGAGAGTGGGGAGATAAACATATTTGTAGACTTAAAGGATGTTAGTATTCAAGAGGAGAATATTAAACAGAGAAAATGGGTATTAAATATTAAAATAATTTTCCAGAAAAGATTAGATTTCTTGTTCACAAGAAAACTTCAGAGAAGTAGTTTTGGAAATGGTCCAGTTTCCCAGATATCTTTGAGATTAATATTATCATGACATAATCCAAGGTCACAATTGTGTCATTTCAGTACAGGATCAAATATCTACTTGGTTTGGGCTAACTACTGGAAGGTATCACATGTTAAGGAAATGTCATCAATTTATGGCAGGTGTAATTCCTGCAGGACTGGGGCTTTGTCCTCATTTCTCTATTTACAATGTTTCTGTAGCCTTGTCAGACAAATTGGGGATCCTTTCTAGCTTAATGGAGGAATTATTGCAGTGTGCAGGTGTCATTAGGGAATTTGGCCGACTTGGCACCATTTTGTTGGAGGACTTCTCTATAACCTTGTCTTCTCAGACCCAGAGGTAGGGTCTTGGCCTACGGCCCTGAAGATAGAAAATAAGGCATTATCCGAATTCCTTAAGGCTATCCCTGAAAAACTAATAGTGATTGGTATCTGAGTTTTATGTACAGCATACTTCTAACCTTTGTTTTAATTATGTGAACTCATGGTGAAAATAACAAAATAGTAAATTAGTCATACACAGTCACCTCCTACAGCTCTTAGAGGATGGACAAATATTACAGTCTTGAGTAAGAGAAAGGGACTGTGGCACAGGAACATACTGAATGTGGGCCATATGGACAGAGAGGTAGGAAAATAACACCCACAGTCAATTGAGAATTTTCATGATCACTCTTACTGACTGTGTAAGCAGGAGTTAGGAAATGCATTTATTCATGTTTAAATCAGATGTGATCAAGTTTATGACAGCCTATGGGCAATCCAAAATTTCTTAAAGATATATATATGTTTGTGCAAGTTTATGAGGGGAGGGGATCTATAATTTCTGTATCTTATCACTTATAAATTGAGTTTATTTTTATTCTCTTTTATGCAAACTCCAATTTGATCCTAGTTCCCACATATTTTTGTGCAGTGATAACTGCTATTTATTGTCTTCTGTTTTTGTAAACTGTAATCATTTTTTCTCCAGGTAGGGGAAAGGAATTTTTTTTTATTTCCCATAGGGTAGTAGAAACAGACTCATTTATTTTCTCTCTCTGTGGAATCAGAGATAAGACAGCTAATATATTTACATAACTCCATTCTTCGTCTGTCATATGGCATTACACAATATTTACCCACTTTACAATGTACTCCACTCATTTTTAAAATTTCTCTTCTTCATTCACATCCCCTATATTCATTTATTTATTCATTTATCTATTTATTCAACACATATTTATTTAGTGTCTTCTTAACGGAAGATGAAGCATGTTGTCTACCCTAGTCTTGTGGGATGAAGGTAGAAGGACAAGTGACAAATATATGAAACAATATAATATAGGGAAGATTATAAATTTTATACTGAAGATAAAACTATGTTATGGAATTCAGAATAATGAAAAATGTTATTGAATTGAAATTGTTTTACAGGTATGAAATAGTACCAAGGAAAGTTTAAGCAAGACTCATTGAAGACACTGAATTTGGATTGAGATTAAAGGATGGCCTCTGGAGAGAGGAGAAAATGGAGAAAGAATGCACATGAGATCATTTGTTATATCGTGTCCCAAATTCAAAGGATGCACATAATAATTTGCAGAATTAAAATAATTTGTTGAGGTCTAAATTACTGGTAAAAGCGTGATATAGTTGGCAGTTTTTAAAAAGGTGGAAGATTGGTGGAAGATTTGTGGGAGAAATTTTTAATTTATTTTTGGATATGATGTATTTAAGATTCAGAAAGGATAATAAGGTGAAGACATCCACAGATGTCTTCTGTTTAACAGGACTATAATTGGACAGATTTGTCAAAACTCATGATAGAAAAAATGAAACACACGTACTATGCATAATGCATGTACATTTTTTAGATGGACTGAGTTTATGTTGTCATTTTCAAAATGAAGAAACTCAGGCAAAGACATTTGCCATGATGTAGTGGGTGAATTATATAGACAGAGGAGAAACACAAGTCCAGAATTCTCTTTATTAAACTACTACTATAAATTTTTGAAGTTGTATCAGTCATGGTTTGATCAGAGAAACATAATCATTGTGAGTATTACAGAACAAGGAATTTATTATAGGAATTAGACTTAATGTACTTGTGGGTGCTGCTTAGGCAGTCTAGTGTAATGCTGTTATCTGTGTATCTGGTATTTTCTAGAAGTCAACAGGCTGGCTGTTGCGAAGGAAATAAAGACATATGTAGTGGGAAGCAAGGAACAGCTGGAATCCATGAGGACAAACAAGAACCCCTGAAAACTAGCTAGTACTCATGCTTGTCTCTCACAACCTCAATCATGATAACATAGGTAGGAGGCACAATAACCTGACTGCTCATGCTCCTGGCCCAGAGAAGCTGAGGAAGGAGAGATCCAATGGAATAAAGAGATGACTGCTTCTTCACTTCCATTTTCCATACTCTCAACAATTATTGTTTTTTGTGGCCTACTGGGAAGCATATAGGGAGGGAATTCTGGGATATGTAGTTCCAATTTAGCTAAGCTGACATAGTACAAACCTACCCCTGTCTGTCCCTTGACAACTTACTTGAATCATATTTAAACCATACTCTTTCAACCATCCTTAAAGCTTATAAATAAATACAATAGCCAACTGTGCTTCCACTTGACACAACGCAAGTCCATTTCTCCTACTTTTTTTCCCCCCTTTCCAACTTTTATATTAGGTTCAGAGGTAAATGTGTAGGTTTGTTACCTGAGTAAATTGCATGGAGGTTTGGCATACAGATTATTTTGTCACCCAGGTAACGAGCATAGTCCTGATCAGTTTTTCAATCCTCACCCTCCTTCCATGCCCCACCTTCAAGTAGGCCCCCATGTCTATTGTTTCCTTCTTTGTGTCCGTGTGTACTCAATGTTTAGCTCCCGCATATAAGTGAGAATATGCAGTATTTGGTTTTCTGTTATTACATTAATTCACTTACAATAATGGCCTCCAGCTCCATTCATGTTGCTGAGAAGGACACGATCTTGTTCTTTTTTACGGCTACATAGAATTCCATGGGTATATGTACCACATTTTATTTATCTACTTTTCCACTGATGGACACCTATGTTGATTCCATGTCTTTGCTATTGTGAATAGTGCTGCAATGAACATATGTGTGCATGTGCCTTTATGGCAGAATCATTTATATTCCTTTGGATATATTGGATATATATATATATATATATTCATTTGTCGGATGCATAGATGCAAATATTTTCTCCCATTCTGTAGGTTGTGTGTTTACTGTGTTGAGAGTTTCTTTTGTTTTTTTGTTTTTTCACTTAGCAGAATATCTTTAGCTTAATTAGTTACCATTTGTCAATTAATGTTTTTGTTGCAAGTCCTTTTGGAGCCTGTCATTAAATCTTTGCTGGGACCTATGTCCAGAATGGTATTTCCTAGGTTTTCTTCAAGGGTTTTATGGTTTTAAGTTTTATGTTTAAGGCTTTAATACAAGTTGAGTTGATTGTTTTATAAGGCAAAAGGAACGGGTCCAGTTTCAATCTTAAGTACATGACTAGGCAGTTACACTATCACCATTTATTGAATAGGAAGTCCTTTCCCCATTGTTTGTTTTTGTTGATTCTGTTGAAGATCAGATGGTTGTAAGTGTGCAGCTTCATTGGTCTGTGTCTATTTTTGTAAGAGTACCATGCTGTTTGGTTTACTGTAGCCTTGTAGTATAGTTTGAAGTTGAATAACGTGATGTCCCCAGCTTCATCCATTGGCTTAGGATTGTCTTGGATATTCAGGCTTTTTTTTGGTTCCATATAAATTGTAAAATAGTTTTTTTTTCTAATTCTGTGAAGAATGCCATTGGTAGTTTTATAGGAATAGCACTGAATCTATAAATTGCTTTGGGTAGTATGACCATTCTAACAATATTGATTCTTTTTATTCATGAATATGTAATGTTTTTCCATTTGTTTGGGTCATTTCTGATTTATTTAAGCAGTGTTTTAAAATTCTCACTGTGTATATCTTTCGCCTCCTTGGTTAAATGTAGTCATAGGTATTGTGTGTGTGTGTGTGTGTGTGTGTGTGTGTGTGTGTGTGTATGTCTATTGTGAATAGGATTGTGTCCTTGATTTGGTTCCAAGCTCAAATGTTATTCGTATGTAGAAATGCTACCTATTTTTATACATTGATTTTGTAACCTGAAACTTTGGTGAAGTAGTTTACCACATCTAGGGGCCTTTGGGAAGAGACTATAGGGTTTTCTAGGTATAGAATTATATTGTCTTTGAAGAGAGATAGTTTGACTTCCTCTTTTCCAATTTAAAGGCCTTTTATTTCTTTATCTTGCCTGATTTCTCTGGCCAGGATTTCCAGTGCTATGTTGAATAAGACTGATGAGAGTGGCCATGCTTGTCTTGTTCCAGCTCCAGCAAAATGTCTCTGGCTTTTGCCCATTCGGTATGATTATAGCTGTGTTTTTTTCGTAGATGGTTTTCATTATTTTGAGTTATGTTCCTTCAATGGTTAGGTCATTGAGGCTATTTAACATGAAAGGATGTTGAATTCTTATTTAAGGCCTTTTCTACATCTACTGAGATAACGATGTGGTTTTTGTTTTTAGTTCTGTTTATGTGATGAATCACATGTGTTCATTTGCATATGTTGAACCATCCTTGCATCCATGGAGAAAGCCTACTTGATCAAGTATCCACTATGATCATAGTGGATTAGCTTTTTGATGTGCTGCTGGATTCACTTTGTTACTATTTTGTTGAGGATTTTTGCCTCTATGTTTATCAGCAATATTGGCCTGACATTTTTTGCTGTTGTGTCTCTGCCAGGTTTTGATATCTGGATAATGCTGGCCTTATAGAATGAGCTAGGCAGGAATTCCTCCTCTTCAATTTTTTGGAATGCTTTCAGTAGGAGTGGTATCTACTCTTCTTTATACATCTGGTAGAATTCAGTTATGAATCTGTCTGGTCCTGGACTTTTTTTGGTTGGCTAGCTTTGTCTTACTGATTCAATTTTGGAGCTCATTATTGGTCTGCTCAGGGTTTCAATTTCTTCCTGGTTCAATCTTGGGAGGTTGTATATTTCCAGGAATATATACATTTATTCTAGATTTTCTAATTTGTATGCATAGAGACGTTCATAATAATCTCTGAGGGTTTTTTGTATTCCTGGTGAATTGATGGTAATGTCCTTTTGGTCATTTATGATTGTGTTTACTTGGTTCTTTTCATCTTTTTTTCATTATTAATCTAGATAATGGTCTACAATCTTAGTTGATCTTTCAAAAAACTAATTTTTGATTTCATTGATCTTTTAAAGCTTTTTGTGTCTCAATTTTATATGGTTCAGCTCTGATTGTAGTTGTTACTTTTCTTCTCCTAGCTTTGGGGCTGATTTGCTCCTGTTTTTCTAGTTCCTCTAGGTGTGATATTAGGTTGTTAATATGAGATCTTTCTAACTTTTTGATGTGGGTGTTTAGCACTATAAATTTTCCTCTTAGCACTGCTTTAGCCATGTCCCAAAAATTTTGGTAAGTTGTATCTTTGATTTCATTAGTTTTGAAGAATTTCTTGATTTCTGCCCTAATTTCACTGTTTACCCAACAGTCATCCAGAAGCAGCTTGTTTAATTTCCACGTAATTTTAAAGTTTTGAGATATAGTCTTCTTTTATTATTATTATACTTTAAGTTCTAGGGTAAATGTGCACAATGTGCAGGTATGTTACATAGGTATACATGTGCCATGTTGGTTTGCTGCACCCATCAACTCTCATTTACATTAGGTATTTCTCCTAACTCTATCCCTCCCCCAGCCCCCCACCTGCCAACAGGCCCCGGTGTGTGATGTTCCCCTCCCTGTGTCCACGTGTTCTTGTTATTCAACTCCCACTTATGAATGAGAACATGCGGTGTTTGGTTTTCTGTCCTTATGATAGTTTGCTGAGAGTGATGGTTTCCAGCTTCATTCATGTCCCTGCAAAGACATAAACTCATCTTTTTTATGGCTGCATAGTATTCCATGGTGTATATGTGCCACACTTTCTTTATCCAGTCTATTATTGATGAATATCTGGGTTGGTTCCAAGTCTTTGCTATTGCAAACAGTGCGACAATAAACATACGTGTGCATGTGTTTTTATAGTAGCATGATTTATAATCCTTTGGGTATATACCCAGTAATGGGATTGCTGGGCCAAATGGTATTTCTAGTTCTAGATACTTGAGGAATCACCACACAGTCTTCCACAATGGTTGAACTAATTTACACTCCTGCAAACAGTGCAAAAGCATTCCTGTTTCTCCATATCCTCTCCAGCATCTGTTGTTTCCTGACTTTTTAATGATCACCATTCTAACTTGCATGAGATGGTATCTCATTGTGGTTTTGATTTGCATTTCTCTGATAACCAGTGATAATGAGCATTTTTTCATATGTCTGTTGGATGCATAAATGTCTTCTTTGAGAAGTGTCTGTTCATATCCTTCGCTCAATTTTTCATGGGGTTGTTTTTTTCTTGTAAATTTGTGTAAGTTTTTTGTAGATTATGGATATAAGCCCTTTGTCAGATGGATAGATTGTAAAATTTTTCTCCCATTCTGTAGGTTGCCCGTTCACTCTCATGATAGTTTCTTTTGTTGTGCAGAAGCTCTTTAGTTTAATTAGATCCTATTTGTCAATTTTGGCTTTTGTTGCCATTGCTTTTTGTGTTTTAGTCATGAAGTCTTTGCCTATGCCTATCTCCTGAATGGTATTGCCTAGGTTTTCTTCTAGGGTTTTTAAGGTTTGAGGTCTTACATTTAAGTCTTTAATCCATCATGAGTTAATTTTTTATAAGGTGTAAGGAAGGCATCCAATTTCAGAATTCTACATTTGGCTAGCCAGTTTTCCCAGCACCATTGATTAGATAGGGAATCCTTTCTCCATTGCTTTTTTTGTCAGGTTTGTCAAAGATCAGACGGTTGTAGATGTATGGTATTATTTCTTAGACCTCTGTTCTGTTCCATTGGTCTATATATCTGTTTTGGTACCAGTACCATGCTGTTTTGGTTACTGTAGGCTTGTCATATAATTTGAAGTCAGGTAGCATGATGCCTCCAGCTTTGTTCTTTTTGCTTAGGATTGTCTTGGCAATGCGGGCTCTTTTTTGGTTCCATATGAACTTTAAACTACTTTTTTCCAATTCTGTGAAGAAAGTCAGTGGTAGTTTGTTGGGGATAGCATTGAATCTATAAATTACCTCGCACAGTATGGCCATTTTCACAATAATGACTCTTCCTATCCATGAGCATAGAATGTTCTTCCATTTGTTTGTGCCCTCTTTTATTTCATTGAGCAGTGGTTTGTAGTTCTCCTTGAAGAGGACCTTCACATCCCTTGTAAGTTGGATTCCTAGGTATTTTATTCTCTTTGTAGTAATTGTGAATGGGAGTTCACTCATGATTTGGCTCTGTTTGTCTGTTACTGGTGTATAGGAATGCTTGTGATTTTTGCACAGTGATTCTGTATCCTGAGACTTTGCTGAAGTTGCTTATCAGCTTGAGATTTTAGGCTGAGATGATGGGGTTCTCTAAATGTAAAATCATGTCATCTGCAACAGAGACAATTTGACTTCCTCTTTTCCTAACTGAATAACCTTTATTTCTTTCTCTTGTCTGATTGCCCTGGCCAGAACTTCCAACACTATGTTGAATAGGAGTGGTGAGAGAGGGCATCCTTGTCTTGTGTTGGTTTTCAAAGGGAATGCTTCCAGCTTTTGCCCATTCAGTATGATATTGGCGTGGTTTGTCATAAATAGCTCTTATTATTTTGAGATACGTTCTATCAATACCTACTTTATTAAGAGTTTTTAGTATGAAAGGCTGTTGTATTTTGACAAAGGCTTTTTCTGCATCTATTGAGATAATCATGTGGTTTTTGTTGTTGGTTCTGTTTATGTGATGGATTACGTTTATTGATTTGCGTATGTTGAACTAGCCTTGCATCCCAGGGATGAAGCTGTCTTGATCGTGGTAGATAAGCTTTTTGTTGTTCTGCTGGATTTGTTTTGCCAGTATTTTATTGAGGATTTTTGCATTGATGTTCATCAGGGATATTGTTCTAAAATTCTCTTTTTTTGTTGTGTCTCTGCCAGGCTTTGGAATTAGGGTGATACTGGCCTCATAAAATGAGTTAGAGAGGGTTCCCTCTTTTTCTATTCATTGGAATAGTTTCAGAAGGAATGGTACCAGCTCATCTTTGTATCTCTGGTAGAATTTGGCTGTGAATCCATCTGGTCCTGGACTTTGTTTGGTTGGCAGGCTATTAATTATTGCCTCAATTTCAGAACATGTTATTGGTCTATTCAGAGATTCAACTTCTTCCTGGTTTAGTCTTGAGAGGGTGTATGTGTCCAAGAATTTATCAATTTCTTCTAGATTTTCTAGTTTATTTGCATAGAGCCGTTTATAGTATTCTCTGATGGTAGTTTGTATTTCTGTGGGATCAGTAGTGATATCCCCTTTATCATTTTTTATTGTGTCTGGTTGATTCTTCTCTCATTTCTTCTTTATTAGTCTTGCTAGCGGTCTATTTTGTTCATCTTTTCAAAAAAAAAAAAACACCTCCTGGATTCATTAATTTTTTGAAGGGTTTTTTGTGTCTCTATCCACCACTTCAGTTCTGCTCTGATCTTAGATATTTCTTGTCTTCTGCTAGCTGTTGAATTTGTTTGCTCTTGCTTCTCTAGTTCTTTTAATTGTGATGTTAGGGTGCTGATTTTAGATCTTTCCTGCTTTCTCTTGTGGGCATTTAGTGCTACAAATTTCCCCCTACACACTGCTTTAGCTGTGTCCCAGAGATTCTGGTATGTTGTGCCTTTGTTCTCATTGGTTTCAAAGAACTTCTTTATTTCTGCCTTCATTTCTTTATTTACCCAGTAGTCATTCAGGAGCAGGTTGTTTAGTTTCCATGTAGTTGTATAGTTTTGAGTGAGTTTCTTAATGCTGATTTCTAATTTGATTGCACTGTGGTGTGAGAGACAGTTTGTTGTGATTTCTGTTCTTTTACATTTGCTGAGGAGTGTTTTACTTCCAATTATGTGGTCAATTTTAGAATAAGTGCAATGTGGTGCTGAGAAGAATGTATATTCTACTGATTTGGGGTGGACGGTTCTGTAGATGTCTATTAGGTCTGCTTGGTCCAGAGCTGAGTTCAAGTCCTAGATATCCTTGTTAATTTTCTGTCTCTCTGATCTGTCTAATATTGACAGTGGGGTGTTAAAGTCTCCCATCATTATTGTGTGGGATTCTAAGTCTTTTTGTAGGTCTCTAAGAACTTGCTTTATGAATCTGGGTGCTCCTGTATTGGGTGAATATATATTTAGGATAGTTAACTCTTTTTGTTGAATTGGTCCTTTTATCATTATGTAATGGCCTTCTTTGTCTCTTTTGATCTTTGTTGGTTTAAAGTCTGTTTTATCAGAGACCAGGATTGCAACCCCTGCTTTTTTTTGCTTTCCATTTTCTTGGTAGCTCTTCCTCCATCCCTTTATTTTGAGCCTACGTGTGTCTTTGCACATGAGATGGGTCTCCTGAATACAGCACACCAACGGGTCTTGACTCTTTATCCAATTTGCCAGTCTATGTCTTTTAATTGGAGCATTTAGCCCATTTACATTTAAGGTTAATATTGTTATGTGTGAATTTGATCCTGTCATTATGATGCTAGCTGTTTATTTTGCCTATTAATTGATGCAGTTTCTTCATAGTGTCAATGGTATTTACAATTTGGCATGTTTTTGCAGTGGCTAGTACCGGTTGTTCCTTTCCATGTTTAGTGCTTCCTTCAGGAGCTCTTGTAGGGCAGGCCTGGTGGTGACAAAATCTCTCAGCATTTGCTTGTCTGTAAAGGATTTTATTTCTCCTTCACTTATGAAACTTATTTTGGCTGGATCTGAAATTCTGGGTTGAAAATTCCTTTCTTTAAGAATGTTGAATATTGGCCCCCACTCTTTTCTGGCTTGTAAGGTTTCTGCAGAGAGATCCACTGTTAGTCTGACGAGCTTCCCTTTGTGGGTAAACCAACCTTTCTCTCTGGCTGCACTTAACATTTTTTCCTTCATTTCAACCTCGGTGAAGCTAACGATCATGTGTCTTGGGGTTGCTCTTCTTGAGGAGTATCTTTGTGGTGTTCTCTGTATTTCCTGAATTTGGATGTTGGCCTGCCTTGCTAGGTTGGGGAAATTCTCCTGGATAATATCCTGAAGAGTGTTTTCTACCTTGGTTCCATTCTCCCCGTCACTTTCAGGTACACCAATCAAATGTAGATTTAGTCTTTTCACATAGTCCCATATTTCTTGGAGGCTTTGTTCATTTCTTTTCACTTTTTTCTCTATTCTTGTCTTCTTGCTTTATTTCATTAATTTGATAATCAATCACTGATATCCTTTCTTCTGCTTAATCAAATCAGCTATTGAAGCTTGTGTATGCTTCACGAATTTCTCGTACTGTGGTTTTCAGCTCCATCAGGTCATTTAAGCTCTTCTCTGCACTGGTTATTCTATTTAGACATTCGTCTAACCTTCTTTCAAGGTTTTTAGCTTCCATGCAATGGGTTAGATCATGCTCCTTTAGCTCAGAGAAGTTTGTTATTACAGACCTTCTGAAGCCTACTTCTGTCAACTTGTCAAACTCATTCTCCATCCAGTTTCATCCTTTTGCTGGTGAGGAGCTGTGTTCCTTTGGAGGAGAAGAGGCATTCTGGTTTTTAGAATTTTCAGCCTTTCTGCTCTGGTTTCTCTCCATCTTTGCGGTTTTATCTACCTTTGGTCTTTGATGTTGGTGAGGTATGGATAGGGTTTTGGTGTAGATGTCCTTTTTGTTGATGTTGATGCTATTCCTTTCTGTTTGTTAGTTTTCCTTCTCACAGACAGGCTCCTCAGCTGCAGGTCTGTTGGAGTTTGCTGGAGGTTCACTCCATACCCTGTTTGCCTGGGTATCACCAGCGGAGGCTGCAGAACAGCTAATATTGCTGTCTGACCCTTCCTCTGGAATCTTCGTCCCAGAGAGGCAACCACCTGTATGAAATGTCTGTCAGCCCCTACTGGGAGGTGTCTCCCAGCCAGGCTACACAGGGGTCAGGGACCTACTTGAGGAGGCACTCTGTCCATTATCGGAGCTCGAACGCCATGCTGGGAGAACCACTGCTCTCTTCAGGGCTGTCAGGCAGGGAAGTTCAAGTCTGCAGAAGCTGTCTGCTGCCTTTTGTTCAGATATTCCCTGCCCCCAGAGGTGGAATCTAGAGTGGCACTAGGCCTTGCTGAACTGCAGTGGGCTCTGCCCAGTTTGAGTATTCCTGCCACTTTGTTTACTCTGTGAGCATAGAACCACCTACTCAAGCCTCAGCAATGGCAGATGCCCCTCCCCCCTCCCCAAGTTCCAGTGTCCCAGGTTGATGTCAGACTGCCGCACTAGCAGTGAGCAAGGCTCCATGCATGAGGGACCTGCCGAGCCAGGCACAGGAGGGAATCTCCTGGTCTGCTGGCTGCAAAGACTGTGGGAAAAGTGCAGTATTTGGGCAGAAGTATACCATTCCTCCAGGTACGGTCACTCACGGCTTCCCTTGACTATGAAAAGGAAATCCCCTGTCCCCTTGTGCTTCCTGGGTGAGGCAATGCCCCACCCTGCTTTGGCTCTCCCTCTGTGAGCTGCACCCACTAGTCCCAGTGAGATGAACAAGATACCACAGTTGGAAATGCAGAAATCACCTGTCTTTTGCATCAATCTCACTGGGAGCTGTAGACCAGAGCTGTTCCTATTTGGCCATCTTGGAAGCAACTGCTAGTCTTCTTTTTTCAATTTAATTTAATTTATTTATCTTAACTTCTATTTTAGTCTTAAGGATACATGTGCAGGTTTGTTTTATAGGTAAATTGTGTGTCATGAGTGTTTGGTGTAAAGATTATTTCATCACCAATGTAATAAGCATAATACCCAATAGACAGCAGTGTGGATGTGGGGAGAAGTGTACTTACACTGGCAAGCAATGGCATGGTGGGGTGCACACACATGCATGCACTGGTGTGGTAGGGAAGGTGAGTTTCACATGTGCACATGTACACCATCAAAGCAATGGCAGGGGGTGGTGGCCATGGATGAGTGCATGCTAACAAAGTGGTATGGGGAGGCTGTGGTTGGGGGAGGGTGCAGATGGGCTGGTGTGTGTTGGTGGGGCCACTCTGCCGGAGCTCTCTGACGGTCAGGCATGGCCTTACAGTGCAGGAGCTAGAATGCAGGCCCCCAGGAGACAGCCAGTTGGGCATCTGAGGCCTCACTGCAAGCAGGCATGGCCAAGCTGGGTCCTTGGGAAAGACCAGCAGACAGAAAGGCACTCAATTCAGACAGGGCCCATCTCACATGCAAGATTTTCCTGTTCTGTCCTCATCTGACAGTTCCCCTTATACTAAAGTCTTGTAGGGGAACAAGGTGAGACTTGGTGGATAGGTATCCCTGGCCATGCTCCCCTGTAGATGTTTTTATGCCAAACCCTCAGGCCTCTGGACAGCCTGGAATCCTTTCCTTATCCGTTCTGTAAGAAGCTCTCCTTGCCATCTCAAGTGTGTGGGGATCCTAGGGTGCACTGCTGCCAGGAATCCAGAGGTCTGTGATACGTGTGGGTCGCTGCTTACCTATTCAACTCACACCTTCCCCAGGAGTAGGTGGGGGCCAGGAACACATCCTAGGGCACAGTAGCCCTGTGCTTGGTTCCCAGCTTCCTTCCCTTCATCCTAGTGTCTCTTTCCTCCCTCCATCCACTCTCAATGTCCTCCTTCTGAAGATCTACTTGGAGTATGTCAGTCTTTCTTGTGTCCCAGTTCCTCAGTGGCAAGTGTTCCTCCTAGCTGCATCTAGTTGGCCATCTTGCCTCTCATGTTGAGATATCTTTTCTTGGTATTGATTTCTCTATTTACTGCACTATAGTCTGAGATTTCAGTTCATATGACCAGTTTTTTGAATTTTTGACAATTGCTTTATAGGTAAGTATGTGGTCAATTTTAGAGTATGTGTCACATACAGATGAGAAGAATGTATATTCTATAATTGTTGGGTGGAGTGTTCTGCAGGAGTCTGTTAGGTCCCCTTGGTCAAGTGTTGTGTTTAGGTCCTGAGTATCTTTGTTAGTTTTCTGTCTAAATGGTCTAATACTGTCAGTGGGGCATTGAACTCTCCCACTATTATTGTGTGCTTATCAAAATGTCTTTGTTGTCTCTAAGAACTTGCTTAATGAATCTGAGTGCCCCAGTGTTGGGTGCATATATATTTAGAATATATATAATTATTATGAAATGACCTTTATCATTATGTAGTGCCCTTCTTTGTCCTTTTTGATCTTGTTGGTTTTAAGTCTGTTTTGTCTGAAGAATAGCAACCCCTGCTTTTTTTGTTTTCCTTTTTCTTGGTAGATTTTTCTCTCTTTATTTTGGGCCTACAGGTGTCATTGATTGTTAGATGGGTCCCTTGAAGACAGCATACAGTTGAGTCTTACTTCTTTACCCAGCTTGTTACTCTTTGTCTTTTAAAGTGGAGAATTTAGCCATTTATGTTCAAAGCTAGCTTTGATATGTGCCGATTTGACCTTGTCATCGTGTTGTTAGCTGGGTATTTTGTAGACTTGTTTCTGTGGTTGCTTTATAGCATCAATGCTCTATGTACTTAAGAATATCTTTGTAGTGGCTGGTAATGGTCTTTCACTTTCATGTTTACCACTCCTTTAAGGACCTATTGTTAGGAAGATCTGGCAGTAACAAATTCCCTTAGCATTTGCTTATCTGAAAAGGATCCTATTTCTCCTTAGCTTATGAAGCTTAGTTTGGCTAGATATGAAATTATTGGTTGGAATTTCTTTTCTTTAAGAATGCTGAATATAGACCTCCAATCTCTTCTGGATTGTAGAGGTTCTCATGAAAGACCTTCTGTTAGCCTTGTGTGGTTCCCTTTATAGGTGACCAGCCACTTTTCTCTAGCTGCCTTTACTTTCATGTTGACCTTGGAGAATCTGATGAGTATGTGTCTTAGGGATGGTTGTCTTATATAGTATCTTGCAGGGGTTCTCTGAATTTTCTGACTTTGAATGTTTACCTGTCTAGTGAGGCTGGGGAAATGTTCAGGGATGATATCCTCAAATATATTTTCCAAGTTGTTTGATCTCTCTCCCTCTTTCAGGGTTGCCAATGAGTTGTAGGTTTGGCCTTTACATAATCTCATATCACTTGGAGGTTTTATTCATTCTTTTTTATTCTTTTTTCTTTATTTTTTTCTGACTGAAGTGAGTTGAAGAAGTGATTTCTGAGCACTGAGATTCTTTCCTGCCTGGTATATTCTGCTATTAATACTAATTGTATTATAAAATTCTTGTAGTGAGTTTTCTTTCTTAAAATGGCTATTTTGATTTTCATCTCTTGTATTTTACTGGACTCCTTAGATTCCTTGTGTTGAGTTTCAACTTTCTCCTGAATCTTTATGATCTTCATTTCCACCCTGATTCTGAATTCCAAGTCCATCATTTTAGCCATCTCAGCCTTGTTAAAAACCATTGCTGGGGAGCTAGTCCAGTCATTGGGAGGTAAGGAGACACTCTGGCTTTTAACTTGCCAGAGCTCTTGCACTGGTTCTTTCTCATTTGTGTGGGCCAATGTTCCTTTAAGGTTTGACATTGCTGCCCTTTGGATAGGGCTTTTTGATTTTATATTCTTTGATGCATCTGAGGGTTCGATGGTGGTATAATTTGGGTTTAGTTGACTAGCTTCATTTCTGGACAATTTCAGGGGGCCAAGGCTCAGCTCAGCACTCTGTTCTCTGACCCTTTAAGGTTAAGCACCTGCTGTGCTGGAGGGGCTGAGATTTTCCTGGTCTGCTGGCAACACCACTCCAATGGGGAGTCCTAGCAAAAGCACTTCTTGGGGCAATGGCACTGGGTCCACTCTTATGCATGCATGCACACACCAGGAGCAGCAGGACGGTGGCACAGTGGGATTGGTGCTTGCATGCTGTTGGTTGCAGGAAGACAGTGTGGTATCAGGGTCTGTAATTGTGTGTGCACACCAGTGGTGGCAAGGGGTAGGCAATGGGCAATCATGTGCTGGCAAAGCAATCTGGGGAGGCTGCAGGTGGGTGAGTGCTGGTGAGGGCCCACCTGCAGAAGCTCTCTGATGGATAGGCAGGTTCTGCTGATAAAGGAGTTATAGAAGTGGCCACTGAGAAGCACCCTGGTTGGGTAATGAAGGCTGCACTGCAAGTGGACATGGCCAGGCAGGCACCCCAGGAGAGCCTGTCAGATAGAGGGGTGTTCAGATCATACTAACCTCATCCCATGGGCAAGACAGCCATGCTTTGTCTGTATCTGACAGTAAACAAAAGCCAAACCTGCCTAGAGGAGCAGGGCAAGCATTGAGGGATGGGCATCCCTGTCCATTCTTCACTGCAGCCACGCCTGCACCAAACCCTCTGGGCTCCACACTGCCTGGAGTCCTGTTCCTGCCAACTCTCCAAGCAGTTCTCCTTGCCAACTCCAATTTCCATGGAGGTTGTGGGATCTCCTGCGGCTAGGATTCCAGAGTTCCATGCAGAAGTAGGCCACTCCATGCCTGTCTAACTCAACCCTTCCCTAGGAGTTGCTTGGGGCTAGGAATTAGTCCCAGTGCTTGGCAACCCCATTCAGGGCTTCCAGCTTCTCTCTACTTCAGACCAGAGTCTGGTCATCCATTTGTTCACCCCCTTTTTATCTTTAAATGATGGGTATTCTTCTTCTAGCAGAGTCACTCTCCTCTTTTGATATTTTGTAATTTAAGTAATAAGATATGAGGATAACTAGAATTAATACATTCTATGCTAGATAGGGGGAGGTGGTGGGGGAAGAGAATTGATTCACATCTACACATATATATTAATAGACAATAAGGAATAAATATTATAACTATTGCAGACTCTTGTTTCTGCTATTATTTATAATTTTCTTTATTACCCATTCTACTTTCTCTTTGCCCTCAGTCAGCTTTTCAGCTGGTCATGCTTCCTTTCTTAGTGGGTGACCCAAACCTTCATTTCTAAAAGGTCTGCATCTTTAGCAATGCTGCCTATATTGGGTTGTTATTGTTTCTTGACTTTTACCACAGGACATAAGAGGAAGCACTTCAGGAGATATTCTCCATTCTAGACATTCTTCTCCTCAGTTCCATTGTATAAAGCATCTTAGTCCCCATTGAAAGTGAGGATCAATCACACAGCTAGTAGAGTAAAACTTCTTCCTTGCCTGTTTATACACTAGCATGATAAGTAGAAACTAGACAGGTATTCAATATTTCTGTGAGTTTGACTGCCATACTCTGGTACCAAATTTTTGTTCTAGTTACTATTGCTGCCTATAAAATTGTACTCCAGTTTAGTGGTATAAAATAATAACTATTTCATTTTGTTTACCATTTGTGGTCCAGAAGTTTGGGAAGGGCAATTCTCATTTGGTTGCAGTCAGATGTTGGCAGGGGTGTAAGTGGGCTAGGTGGATTAGTTGTAAAATGGCACACTTACATGACTCATTGTTGCGGGAAGTCAGGGACCCCGAACAGAGGGACTGGCTGAAGCCGTGGCAGAAGAACATAAATTGTGAAGATTTCACGGACATTTATTAGTTCCCCAAATTAATACTTTTATAATTTCTTAATGCCTGTCTTTACTGCAATCTCTGAACATAAATTATGAAGATTTCATGGACATTTATCACTTCCCCAATCAATACTCTTATAATTTCCTACACCTGTCTTTACTTTAATCTCTTAATCCCATCATCTTCATAAGCTGAGGATGTATGTTGCCCCAGGACCTTGTGATGATTGCGTTAACTGCACAAATTGTTTGTAAAACCTGTGTGTTTGAACAATATGAAATCTGGGCATCCTAAAAAAGAACAGGATAACAGCGATTTTCAGGGAACAAGGGAGATAACCATAAGGTCTGACTGCCTGCGGGACCAGGCAGAACAAAGTCATATTTCTCTTTTTGCAAAAAGTGAATAGGAGAAATATCACTGAATTCTTTTCCCAGCAAGGAATAACCCTGGGGAAGGAATGCATTCCCAGGGGTGGGTATATGAACGGCCACTCTGGGAGTGTCTGTCTTACGTGGTTGAAGATAAGGGATGAAATATGCCCTGGTCTCCTGCAGTGCCCTCAGGCTTGCTAGGATTAGGAAATTCCAGCCTGGTGATTTCTAGTCAGACCAGTTGTCTGCTCTTGAACCCTGTTTCTTGTTAAGATGTTTATCAAGACAATACGTGCCCAGCGGGACATGGAACCTCATCAGTAATTCTAATTTTGCCTTGTGATCTTTATTGCCCTTTGAAGCATGTGATCTTTGTGACTTACTCTCTATTCGTACCCCCTCCCCTTTTGAAATCCCTAAGAAAAACTTGCAAATAAAAATTTGCATGATTTAGTTGAGCTTTAAGGAGGCTGTGCTGTTTTAAAACATCACACCTAATTTAATACAATTAAGCATGACTGACACTTTCTTTTCAGAAAGGAATTAGGAGCAATCTGGCACTGAGAAAGAATAACTTCTCCTACTCCAGATAGACAGCTCTTCCCAGAGTGAAGCTGAGCTAATTAGCAAGGCACTATGTAGACAATAAAGGAGAACTCTAATGTCAGCTACTGCCATGGACTTTATCATAAGCACAATGATGTCCCCCAGTTTGGAGCTGCAGAAAATTTTTCTTTGGGAGTGGGGATATTCTTTAATTGGATGAGGTTTGTCACAGCCATATTTCAAACTGACACTCAAAACGTCAATCACTGACTTTCAGGTAATGAAATTGATCTATTGTATTTCTGTGCAGCACATGGAATAGCTTGAAGCTCAGTAAAGATTTTCTTTTCACTTTTTTTTTCTGACATGGGCAAAATTAAATGGTGATTTATTATCGACCATTACAAGGAAGCTTATCAACTTATATTCTTTCAACATTGGCCTCCTCTTACCCACTTAAAGTAAATCTTAAAAAGTCTAGTTTTATGACATTAGAGTTATTATTCTATACTCCATTGTTGATTTTACAGAGCACATTTCACATGCTTCTGGATACATCTGCTTTGCATTGTTTTTACATTTTTAAAGGTAATATTTGGTGGTTATAGAAGTTTTTAAAATTAAGTATGTCTACTGAAACATCAAATATTCTGACAAATTTATCAATGGATATTCAGCTACTCACAAAGAAAGCAACTGGAGTTTATTTTTACTATTGCTTTCAAAGGAGTTTCTTCTTCCCATCCTTGTTATTTTCTTTTCTTCTTCCTTCCTCTCACAAGTCTCCCTTTGTGGATTCTGTATGTTGCATTCACAAAAGAGTTGGGGAGCACCTTGAAAAGGCTGCTACAGGAGTGGATTGCCTGGAAAGTTCCTACGTAATTGTCTAACTCTGAGGAATAGATTGAGGTTTTAGACAAAATGGTGGAAAACTAGCTGTGCACAGAAATTGAGAGCAATCTTAAAGACATTGACTTTTGGTTTTCCATACCTAGTAAACAGAAATTCTGGCTTTGTAAGTACTTTCTAAGCATGTTTGCTTCATTCACAGTAAATAGTAAACCCACAGCTCACTGAAGAAAAAAAATCATATCAAGTAAATGTATTATATAAATGTCCTACAGAGAGGCAATTTGATTATAGAAACTGGACAAAGTAAACAAGTCATTCACTGTAGTGGATTTTCATTATAGAAGACTCATTTCAATCAGACAAGTTGGTGCTTAGAAAATCTGTGTGATAGGATGCTTCATCCTATAGAAACTACACTATGTTGATAAGCCTCAAGACTAATGCTGTTAGGTTTGACTTCCTGATTGCCAGAGAAGCCTGAGCAGTAATTACAGAAATGAATCTGCCATCGTCACTGGCTAAGTTCCCTGCAGAGCAGAGATGGAGATTACTGGGATTAATGTGCACCAAGTCTATTGGAAAGTAAGCTTTGTATAAGTTTATGTGGGAGAATGAAGGAAACGGAAGTGGGCAGAAAGATAGGTTGAGTTTTGCTGCAGTTGCAACAAAAGCCCAGCCAATCATATCAGGAGATCTGGACATGGGATAGCCCTTTAGAGTTATCCCAATTTGGAGGAAAAATGAGACCTTTGTACCCTTGCATCAACCAATCTTTTGGTGTGGGATGCCCCCAAGAAAAGATTACAACCCTGGTTTATTCAGCTCTCTTTAATGAAAAACAAGTACCAGAGAGGAATTCAGCTGAGAGATGTCGGACGTCAACATTCCTAGCAGTTTGGAAATGAATGCCACAGACCCAAAGGGAAGATCTGTGCAGTGCACGATCTACATCTACTATGCCAACAAAACTAAGAGTACACATTTTCTTGGCAGAGCAATCCCACTTGAAAGACTCTATCCCAAGATATAAAGACATATGTGTAAAGATGCATGTGCAAACATATTTCTATCAACATGCTTATGATGAAAATGTTATGAAGAAAATCTTAATGTCCTTTAATAGGTAAATGGTCTCAAGTATTAAAAATATGCACACCATGAACAAATATAAAGGTATTAAAGATAAATTCAATCTATATATACTATGCTGGAAGGATATTGATGATATATTATGTGGAGAAATAAGTTACAGAAAATATCCAGTCCAAACTCATTTGCATCATCTCTTTTGTATGAAGCAAGCAAGATATAAATTATGCATTATAGAAGTGGCCATATATGCCCGTATCTTCATGGAAAATAACATAGAATAATTCATACCAGGGAGTTGATATCAATTATTTAGATGGTGTTTGGAGACTGCTAATTGTTCCTTTGTATTGTTTTTCTTCTTACAATTAGTATGCTTTCATAAAAAAATTTGGAATTGGAAAAAAGATTCATTAAACTTGGGGATGTGATATGCCTTGGCAGGTGTGAATCTAGACATTTAAAGCTCACTGTGAATCTTATAAATCATGTATTGTTTTTAAGTTATTTGTTATCTTCAGGTCCCAGTGATTTTGAGCAGCTGAGTAGCCTTTCTCCAGAAAATGTACCTACTCAGATATCATAAAATTTTTATATATCATTAGGTGAACCCACTGTTAACCAAGAACTCTTGAAAGCCAAGATAATATTCCGTGATTCTAGTATAAACTTAGTATTTTACAGATAAAAAGGAAGCTCAAGCAGGTTAAGTGAATTGGACAGGATTACAAGTTTGCTAGTGGCAAAGCCAGGTTAGATACTAGATAATTCTTTCACCTGTAACTAGAATCCAGTGCTGGAGATTTGTACGCTGCTGAAGCCATTTTCATCAACAATTTTTCCCCTATTTATACCTATCCTGGTAGATTATATCATCACCTCCAGCTATGCACTCCCTCCTCTGTGAAGTACTGTGTACACTAGCATGTTGCTGCTTCACGGGCAGTGCCTCCAATGCTGTCCCATCCCATTGCTATGCTTGGTCATGTGACTTGCCTTGGCCAATGGCAATATATGTGACTATATCACATCTGACAGAAACTTTAAGAACAATTTCAAGATAAGGCTCTACCTCTTGCTCTTTTCTCTCTGCTATAAGGATAATACATCACAAATAGGGACTGCTCCTTCAATGTGGCCTTGGGTTAAAATGACACACAGAACACATCTACAGTGGTTTAACTGTAGCAGCTGACAGGTAACCTGAATGAAAAATGGCCTTGTAAGCCATAGATATTTCAGGGGTTGTATATATATATAATGTGTATATATTATCATATTTTATATACATCCTCCATAATATTATATATTATAATATATAATATTATATATGTCCTCCAATCCTATTGCTCCCCTTCCTAAGCTTTTGTATCAACCAAAAGATTAGGCCAAAGTAATCTTTCAATACATAAATCATACAGTATCAGTTCCTTGCTCAAAATTTTTCAATGGCTGCCCATTATATTTCACGTAAGTTCCAAAGTCCTTATGCTAGTTAACAAATCCAGGTGTGATGTGCTTTCTTTTCCCACCATTCCTCTTCTTTCTCACTCTGGATCTTGTCACACTTCTCTGCAAAGGCAATGTCAAGTCTGCCTGGCTCCTTGACAGTCACATTCTGGTTACCCCTCATCACTAGAACTCTGATCAAATATCATTTCCTCCAAGAGAAGTTTAATGGACAACCTAATTAAGGTTGCTTTCAGTTCCTACTGGTCACTTTTTATTATGTTATGCTGTGTTATTTTCACCAAAGCATTTCTTTCCAACTGAAATTATCATTCTTGCTTATCTGTCTTTGTCACTATAATATATGTACCAGGAAGAGGGAACCTTGACAGTATTACTTACAGCTGCATCTTCAGCATCTAGAATAGTGTAAGGCCCATGGAAGACAACCAGCATTTTTAATAGATGATTGAATAACAATATATTTCATCTCTAACATATTGAAATGTCAATTAGAATACTTTAGACTATCTCCTGGGCTGGTTGTTGGCTTAGTTATTCATATTATATCACAAGCCTCCTCATCCCATTAGTACAAAGCTGCTTTTTTCTCTTTTAAAAAATTTATTTTTATTTACTGCTCCTTGTGGAGCAGGGCTAACTTATAGGCAGTGCGCTCAGAGTCAGCAGAAAGCTGCTTTCCATTGTCTTTGCAGGGATATGCTTTCTTTGCATGTGATTGCAACTGATAATTTGAATGAATAAGTTTGAATCGTGGTAAAACTAGTAGAGGCTTACTTTGCAATTTTTGTGCACCCAGATAATTTTTTGGATGTCGCCTTTAAAGAACTTGTCATAGTGTATTTTGTACTATACTTATTTGATTATGTGTTTTGCCCATCAACTAGATTTAGGAAAGGTTAAATAAGACTTAAGCTTCGAAGGAAGAGGAAGAATTTAGATAGGCAAAGATATGAACAGAGGTACAGAGAAGGTAAAGTATATTACTCATTTTTGTGTTATCTGTAGCATCTACCATGATGAGGTCTTACTCAAAGCAGACATTTAATATATGTTGGTTGAAATGAAGTGAAATCTAATCTCAAGGGATGGGGGGGATATGCAATGATCACACTTCTCTGAGTCTTCACAGAAATGTTTGATTCTTGCAGATATAGAATCTGGCAACTGCTATTGGGCCCCAAAAAATGTCTATATTAATACTTCTATAAATGATACAGTAATTCATCCTATAATTGATGGTTGAATTTCCCATCAGTACTGCATTTCTGTGCAATACAAAATTGTTCATAAAATCTTGTTGAAATACATGTGTGGAATAAAATTTTGTAATAGTTCTCAGTCCTTTTTATTTTGTATTACATTATGGTTTATAGAAACAAATAGTGTATGTTAATAAATTCAATTATTTTTTCATGCTTGTGAGTACAGTGTTCTAAATATTATATTGAAATGACAAATATATGTACATTAGAAGGCACAAACGTGGGCTGATAAATGGGTCAACAGATGTGTTTTTCTTGCATAGTATTTAAAACTTGTTTCAGCAAATATTGAACATTGAATAAATTTTACAAGAGAATGTGAATTTCTGGATTGTCTTAAAGAAAAAAAAAAAGCAAGCAAAGTCTGGCAGTTTTGCACCTGCAGTCCTATACGGCAGTATTTTTTTTCCATTTTATACAACATATGTAATCTCCAAATGACTTGCTAAATTTGTATCTGTCTTTTCCCTGAGTTTAGAACTCCTATAATAAAGATGTCATATATACTCTTGTACTTAATCATAAGAAAATAAGCACTATTTGATAATTTTTAAAAATGCTAAATAAAAGTACTTGTATGTTTGCAGTGTGTGAAGTAAAATGGTATATGCTAATCAGAAATATAAATTAATGCTAAGGCCAAGACCCTGCTATAGTTGGGGAAGGGAGTGTCTATCACCTACTGAACTAAGAGTGACATGGTCACATAAAAATATGCTTAACCACATAAGGGAGTCAAAGATATACTTACTAATGAGTGCTACTTCTAATCAGTGCCATGGAAGTGAATAGGAAATAACACCAGGGCTCAGTAGTTGGCCATTGGCAGAAGTGGGATGTGATGCTGGCTTTGAACAATGAATAGAATTCAGATAAGCAGTAAATATATGAAAAAGGAAGCATAGAAATCAAGCATTTTGAAGAATAGAGGATAACTTGGCCAGAAGGTAGAATGAATGGTTTATGTACAATAATAGGAAAGCTGTGGCTGCAGAGGTTTTATAATACAAAATTCTGAATGAGAATTCAGAACCCTGAGAAGGGGTCTTGAATGAGTCAGACATCTAATTTTTGGACCTTATTGTTGGTGATCCTATGTGAAAAGGTCTAGAAATACAGCTGACTACAAACACGTTCTTTAAAAATTCACTTCAACCCTATGCTGCAGAAGGCAGACTTAGGTATATTAATAGATCAGCCTGGATTTTCTACATCAATTGAAGAATGTTGGCAGCAAAATGGAATCAATACCCAAAGTCAGCCAAAGACTGTGTCTAAGGCTCTAAAGGACACACATGGAAGGGATAATAAGAGCCCAGGCTTGCTATATTATAGTGAAATCTGCCAAGTTGTTCTCAAACATATGCCTAATTGGTTTATGCTACAAGAGACTAATTGGAGATTTAAAAAGAAGTTAACTTAAACTTGAAAAACTTCACTGAAAGAGCTATTTTGTTCTAAAATGTATGAGGAATATAATACTGGATGTAGAATGATATCTATAGAGATAATGTGGCTTGGTAATTGAGGGCTCAGTTTATACCCTCAGGCATTGCTTCCTGACTCTACCCTCCTGCCTTCCAGCTTCTTTTACCTTAGCAAGTCATGTAGTCTTTCTTTGTTTCAGATTCTGCAACTGTAAAATGGGGGTGAAATCAGTATCTAATTGATAAGATTATTGTAGATTAAATGTGGGTAAGGCACATAAATGCTAAGTACCATGCCTGTCACACAGCAAAGGTTATTATTTCTACCATCTATTGCAATAGTTCCCTACTGTTTTCTATCTCTTCCCTCTTCCGCTCATTCTGGACACTGCCATAATGCATACATATCATATTCTAACTCTCCCATTCAAAAAATTTAATAACTTCCCCCATTCCTGTAAATAACGTCCCCCATTCCTTACCTCGGATTTCCTATCAAAAACCTGTCTTTCCTTTGTATTGTCCTAGACTATCTCTTTGTTTGAGCCAGACAGAACGGATTTCACATTATCTCAATATGTTCTGTGTTTACTATGGTAGAGCCCATAACTTCATAGAGATCTGATGCTCACTGCTATGCCCAACACCGCTATAAGACTCAGTCATCCCTTTTCCATTTTTCCCCATTTCCTTCATCAGCATGTGGTCCCTCAGCCAGCTGAAGATCTAGGATCCTGCCTTTGCCTTCTTAATTTTTCTTTCCCATTGCTATAGCTGCCAATCCCCCAACTCCTAAAAGCTGGGTTGCACCTCCTATTCCTCTTGCACCTTAGCGCTTTAACCTCTCTTTTTAGACTTCATCCCAATGTGTGACTGTTTCCCACTTTCTCAAGGAAGTCCAAACCAGATTTGATGCCCCGGTTCTCCTGCTCAGCCCTAGCTGACATGCTCACCTAGCACCTCCCAATAACACTCTCCATCATGATAGAACTTTTTCTTGACATTTCTTTTCCCTAAAGGGTAGCCTTCAAATAACCTAGATGGCATTTACAACAAAAATAACACAACCTTATTGCTCTAACATCTTTGTCTTGAGGTTTAATGACTACAAGAACTTTATCACTATACTAACAAAAATGTTTCCTTTTTTCTTTTGCCCAAGATTCAACCAATATGGAGTACCTACAATATTCCAGTTCTAGTGTTGGTTTCAAGAGAAACAGATAAAATAGTTGAAATAGTCTCTATTCTCAGGCGACTCACAGCTAAGTGCAGTATTTTTCAAACTTTTTTTTTATGATCACAGTTGGAATACTTTCTACATAATTTAGAATGCACATACACATGCACACACACATATGTGCGCGCGCACACACACACACACACACACACTTCTTTAAGTCAACCAAAAGTGGTCAAACATATAACAAAGCAATCACAATGCACTGGGATAATCACCATAGTTGAAATGTGTGCTCATTGTCTTTTGTTTTATTCACTTTATTCCTCATTATCTGACAGAACATCTTCTATAGAATAGGTGCTAAGTAAATACATGCAGAATTAGCAAGCCTATTGACAGCATTTTAAAATTAGATAGTACTAAGACATTTTGAGTTTAATTCATAAGCCAATTAAAATGTTTAATTACGGAGACATACCATTCACAGTTTGCATAACAAAGCGGGCAAGCTTTCAAATGATAAAGAGTAAGTGAAATACTAGTAGGAATTTTTGGTATGTGAAGACATTATACCTATTAAAGGACTTACTTTTAGATATGTTTCAGATCATATTATAAGTTTGTTGGCTGTAAATTTACTCACTTTGTAACATCTACCTTAGTCTCACTTTCTAGTTTTCAACTACTCTTCCCCTCCCAAGCAATAGCAAACAAGGAAATAAACATTTCTCAAATATTCTAGTGATAATAGTGAGATTTTTTCTTATATGAAATAATTAAGCTATAGAAGGTATATCAGTTTCTATATGTCCCGGCTTCTATCAAATGCCAGATTTCAGTTTCCTTCTGAACATAAGTGTATAAATACTCTATTCTCATATTTTCAAGTTATCAATAATTCTGAATGAGTTTCATAACCTGCCCTGTCATCATGTGAACCATTCTTCTTGATAGTTAGGATAAGAGTTTTCAAACCCATAGCTATCCACGATTCTCATGTTCATTGGTTTGGATCGATTTATTGGTAATCACAAATACATGTATCTCTCATTTTAGAGCATTTCAACATTATTTTGCCAAAAACCTCCATAAATCTCTTAAATCAAAGGATCAAAAGTGGTTGTCAGGGATACTAAAATTTAAGACCATAATTTGTACAGAGAAAATGCACCTGTAGAATCACGTTTTAGTTAAAAGTCATCAGACATTTTTAAAAATGATGAAATTATCTGCTTGATAGCATTGTTACATTCTATCAATGAAAACACAGAAAAATGTTTAATATCTCAAGTATTTTGGGGTGGATAAATTATGTGTAATAAATAAATCAACTCTACAATCTAAACCTGTGCTTTTCCTAAGAAAAATCAGAGCAGTGCTGACCAATGCAGAATTCAGAGAATTTGGTGTGAAAAGGAGTTACTTCAATAATACCTCTCCTTAATCTAAAAGTTGATCAAAATTGATAATATGAATTTGCAAGTTATACTAGTTACATGTGTTTATTCATTTAAGAAACATTTACTTAATACTTAACATAAGTTAGGTGCTATGCTAGGGGATGGGGAACCAGAACAGCAAGATCTGTCTGACATCAGGAACTTATATCTAGTGTGGAAGTGGCAAGGATTCAGGTGCCACATAGATACAGAGTTATTCTTTGGTATCCATGGAGAATTGGCTCCAAGATCACCTGCTCCCTATACCAAAATCCACAAATGCTAAAGTTCTTTTTGTAAATGGCATAGTATTTGCATATGGCTTATAAACATGCTCCTGGATATTTTAAATAATCTCTAGATTACTTATAATAATGAATACCATGTGAATACTATATAAATAATTATGTTGTATTTTTATTTGTATGATTTTAATTGCTGTATTGTTATTATTTTTTCAAATATTTTTGATCCTCAGATGGTTGAATCCTCAGATGTGGACTGTGTGGATGGAGAGATACTACACTAAAGTATTGCTGGTAGAAGTAAACAAGGTTATTTTAGGTGGTGTACAATTTAAAAATGTGGATTTTTGTATACTATAAATACTTCACCCACAAATAACTCAGTGTACATTTCAAACAAATAAAACCTTTTAACATAACCACAATGACATTATCTCACCTACAAAAATGATGATATTTTCATAATATCATCAATACTTTTGCCATGATACAATTTTTCTATATAGTTGATTTGCTCAAATCAGAATCCAAGTAAGATCCACACAATTGCATTTGGTTAGTATGTCTTATAAGACTATTTAAATTTAAAATAATTCTTCATCCTTATATTTTTCACACCAATTATTTGTTGAAAAAACTGTGTTTTGTAATGTTTTCTGCATTTCTTTAGGATTTGGATTTTGCAGCTATTTACATTGTTTCTCTATCTCCCATATTTCATACTCACGGTTAGATCAAGAGGCTTGATTACACTACTTTACATGGGGGGTGCCATGTGTATCTTAATGCATCTTATCAGGAGGGTGCATAATATATATGATTGTCCCAAATGGGCAAGTGGTTCAGTAGCTTCAACCTGGTTCATCAATTAGTTTTTACATCAATATTTTACTTAATGTTTAAGCATCCTTTGATGATCATTGCCAAAATCCATTATTTTGTTAAGGGTTGTTAAAAATAATTTTTCTATTCTAACATTTATTCTCTATGACATGAAATTCTTGTATAAAATTTTTTCAAATATTTGATTATTCCAAAATATATTCATATAAGATAGGCAGAAAAAATGTTAGGCTGTTTCTCTTATTTATTTACAAAGTAATGAATTAGATGTTAAAGCAACCACTTGATATGATGTTATTTTCAAATGTTATTATGAACTCATGTATACTCATAGACTTTAGGTGTTTTGATACCTTGTGGTCTTTTTCTGGGGAGCGAGAGCATACTCAAATTGTCCCAGCTTTGGTCATTGGAAACCAATTGCAATTTGGCCCTTGTCTTGTTTTTGTTTTTTTAACTTTATCTCACACAACATCTAATTATATCCATAAATATTTTAGTAAGTATTCTAAAAAATACGATTCCTTTTCAAACACAAGCACAATCCTTAGAACAACTAAATAATTTTACAATAATTTCTCACTCAAGGTCATGGTTTTCCCAGGGAAGCCCATGCCTGATGAATGAATGCGAAAGGTTTATGAAGGTCTCGCCATTTTATCTCAGTGTAGGACTCTCTGAAGGGCAATTCTCTCTCTAAAGCTCCCTAGTGGATTAGCTGAAGCTTTGCTGAGCTTGAATCACTTGACTTCTTCTATCCAATTCTGCTTCCCCTCCTTCTCTTCACATGTGTTGATCCCTAACAAACGTATTTTATCCCAATTGTTATTTCAGCATCTGTTCTAGAGAAACCAACTTACAACAAAAATAGTAGATAAATTTGGAACTCAAATTACCTGACTGCCTGACTCAATTGCAAGGCTAATCTCTCAGGATTATCTGCCACCTAAGGTATGTATTTCCGATATACAAATCCATATATATTTTCATATACATATATGTATGTATCTGTGTGTGCATATATATGTATATATATCTTATACTACCTCATTTTTATTATGAACAGCTACATCTAAGTTTTTTTAAAGGAAGAAAAGAAGGGAACATTTTTATATTTTCTATGAACTTTTTACTGATTCACCTATAAATTCTTTGATAATTTAGTATTAATCTGAATATAGCTGTTTTTATTTTAGAGCTGAGGCAGAAATTCTGCATCAGATGGTGAAGGAACTAGAAAGAATTTCTAAATACATATGAAGACAATTACATTCGGACAAACTGGTGAGATTTTGCATTTTATTTTCAAACTAACAGCAAGGGTGCAGAGGTGCGTGTCAGTCATGGTTATTGATCTTTCTGTCTCTAATTTTTTTCCTTTTTTTGAGACAGAGTCTCACTCTGTTGCCCAGGCTGGAGTGCAGTGGCGCAATTTCAGCTCACTGCAACCTCCGCCTCCTGGGTTCAATCAATTCTCCTGTCACAGCCTCCAGAGTAGCTGGGCTTACAGGCAGATGACACCACGCCCGGCTAATTTTTATATTTTTAGTAGAGTCAGGGTTTTGCCATGTTGGGCAAGCTGATCTCCTGACCTCAGGTGATCCTCCCGCCTCAGTCTCCCAAGGTGCTGGGATTACAGGCATGAGTCACCGTCTGCAGCCTCTGCCCCTAAATTTATAAGTCCATTTGTTTCATAAAATTATCAAGTTTAAGTTAATTGTAAAATACTTTTACAACCTTTAGAATAGGTTCAAATATTATCTGAATGAACTAATTTATAATAAAATATATTTGTTTAAACCCTAAGATATATTACCGAAATAAAAATGTAATTAGTCAAACTTTATGCATGACCTATGCAACATACATGAAATAATTTTATTTATATGTAGCTTAGAGTGGACTAGATTAAGGTTAGGTGGAAAAAATTTTTGAAATGATGATAACTCTTGCTGCTCTATCCTGAGTTCTAACAGTCACTTATTCACCACTTGGAATTCCACCAGCTAGATAGTACCCGGGAAGCTTACAGGTCATTCACTTAAGAAGCATCCACTGGTGCTGAAAAATTTATGCAAACATTATGTTGAAGTTGGTAACCAGAATTATATGTAAAAATAACAGATACAACAAATATACCACATCTTCTTGCTTGAGGAAAACTGTAAGATCATCACCTGATACATTTTAGGAAATGAATAGTCAATCCAATGGCATTTTGCTTTTCTGCTTATCTTGTCAGGATTCTACATTCCTAACACATCACCATTTCTCAACCTCTGCCCAGATCTGTTACTATAAGGAAAAATAATACATTATTAGAAACTGTACGTTCCACCAGCCCTATGGTCAGCTTCAATGCCAACCAACTACTGTGATGAGGATTTGTCCTTCCCATGCTTAGAATACTTTGCATTTCAAGTATATTTCAAGTATACTTAGGAATGATAAAAATTATTTAATTGCTGTGTGCAGGTGGGCTCAGGATATCTTCCACCAGAGAAGGAGAATGCAGCTGAGATATTGAAAGAACAACGGACATGATACTGTCTATACTGCCCCAAGCCATTGAGCTATTTTTGTTCATTCAATCACAATGTTACAAGTAACAACAGTTGCTCCATATAATTAGGTATGAACCCTGGCTTCTGCCTTCTTCCACCAAATTGGTTCTCATTCATATTTATCAATTATTTTCTCATCCTGGAATCAGACTTTATTCTATGACTTTGATTCTCACTTTTGGTCCCTATCAATTCTCTAGACTCTTGTTTAATATTCTATATCCCAACACTTCTGCTTCTTGCACAACCTCTCCTTTTCAAATGTTACTTTATTGTGGTACGAATACTTAAAATGAGATCTACCCTCTTAAAGAACTTTAGGTGTACAATGCACTATTGTTAATTATAGGGACAATGCCGTACAGTAAATCTCTATAAGTTATTTATTTTGAATAACAGACTTTATGCCCATTGGTCTGCGAAATTTTCTACTTCACCTGTACCCTTGATTTTGTTCTCTCACAGCAATCAGATAAAAACTCCCACTTCAGACATTGGTAAAGCTAGTCCCAAAGTTACAGGTTTATTTATAAAAGATACGAAGGTACATCACGACCAAGTTTTAATCTTATACTTCCGAAACTTGGATGAAATGTGCATTTTGTTTAAAGTAATTTAAAACAGTCTTTAGTTAAAAAAAAATTTGCTGGAGGGACACTCCAAACCTGTTTGCCTGGGTATTAACCCAGAATTTCATATCCAGCCAAACTAAGCTTCTAAGTGAAGGAGAAATAAAATACTTTGCAGACAAGCAAATGCTGAGATTTTGTCACCACCAGGCCTGCCCTAAAAGAGCTCCTGAAGGAAGCACTAAACATGGAAAGGAACAACCTGTACCAGCCACTGCAAAAACATGCCAAATTGTAAAGACCATCAGTGCTAGGAAGAAACTGCATCAACTAAAGAGCAAAATAACCAGCTAACATCATAATGACAGGATCAAATTCACACATAACAATATTAACCTTAAAAGTAAATGGGCTAAATGCTCCAATTAAAAGACACAGACTGGCAAATTGGACAAAGAGTCAAGATCCACCAGTGTGCTGTATTCAGAAAACCCTTCTCAAGTGCAGAGACACACATAGGCTCAAAATAAAAGGATGGAGGAAGATCTACCAAGCAAATGGAAAACAAAAAAAGGCAGGGGTTGCAATCCTAGTCTCTGATAAAACAGACTTTAAACCAACAAAGATCAAAAGAGACAAAGAAGGCCATTACATAATGGGAAAGGGATCAATTCAACAAGAAGAGCTAACTATCCTAAATATATATTCACCCAATACAGAAGCACCCAGATTCATAAAGCAAGTCCTTAGAGAACTACAAAGAGACTTAGACTCCCACACAATAATAATGGGAAACTTTAACACCCCACTTTCAACATTAGACAGATCAATGAGACAGAAAGTTAACAAGGATATTCAGGAATTGAACTCAGCTAGGCACCAAGCAGACCTAATAGACATCTACAGACTCTGCACCCCAAATCAACAGAATATACATTCTTTTCAACACTACACCACACCTATTCCAAAATTGACCACATAGTTGGAAGTAAAGCACTCCTCAGCAAATGTAAAAGAACAGAAATTATAACAAACTGTCTCTCAGACCACAGTGCAATCAAACTAGAACTCAGAATTAAGAAACTCACTCAAAACCGCTCAACTATATGGAAACTGAACAACCTGCTCCTGAATGACTACTGGGTACATAATGAAATGAAGGCAGAAATAAAGATGTTCTTTGAATCCAATGAGAACAAAGGCACAACATACCAGAATCTATCAGACACATTTAAAGCAGTGTGTAGAGGGAAATTTATAGCACTAAATGCCCACAAGAGAAAGCAGGAAAGATCCAAAATTGACACCCTAACATCACAATTAAAAGAACTAGAAAAGCAAGAGCAAACACATTCAAAAGCTAGCAGAAGGCAAGAAATAACTAAAATCAGAGCAGAACTGAAGGAAATAGAGACACAAAAAACCCTTCAAAAAATTAATGAATCCAGGAGCTGGTTTTTTGAAAAGATCAACAAAATTGATAGACCGCTAGCAAAACTAATAAAGAAGAAAAGAGAGAAGAATCAAACAGACGCAATAAAAAATGATAAAGGGGATATCACCACTGATCCCACAGAAATAGAAACTACCATCAGAGAATACTATAAACACCTCTGTGCAAATAAACTAGAAAATCTAGAAGAAATGGATAAATTCCTTGAAACATACACCCTCCCAAGACTAAACCAGGAAGAAGTTGAATCTCTGAATAGACCAATAACAGGCTCTGAAACTGAGGCAATAATTAATAGCTTACCAACCAAAAAAGTCCAGGACCAGACAGATTCACAGCCAAATTCTACCAGAGGTACAAGGTGGACCTGGTACCATTCTTTCTGAAACTATTCCAATCAACAGAAAAAGAGGGAATCCTCCCTAACTCATTTTATGAGGCCAGCATCATCCTGATACCAAAGCCTGGCAGAGACACAACCAAAAAAGAGAATTTTAGACCAATATCCCTATGAACATCAATGCAAAAATCCTCAATAAGATACTAGCAAACCGAATCCAGCAACACATCAAAAAGCTTATCCACCATGATCAAGTGGGCTTCATCCCTAGGATGCAAGGCTGGTTCAACATACGCAAATCAATAAACGTAATCCAGCATATAAACAGAACCAAAGACAAAAACCACATGATCATCTCAATAGATGCAGAAAAGGCCTTCAACAAAATTCAACAGCCCTTCATGCTAAAATCTCTCAATAAATTAGGTATTGATGGGACGTATCTCAAAATCATAAGAGCTATATATGACAAACCCACAGCCAATATCATACTGAATGGGCAAAAACTGGAAGCATTCCCTTTGAAAATGGGCACAAGACAGGGATGTCCTCTCTCACCACTCCTATTCAACATAGTGTTGGAAGTTCTGACCAGGGCAATCAGGCAGGAGAAGGAAATACAGGGTATTCAATTAGAAAAAGAGGAAGTCAAATTGTCCCTGTTAGCAGATGACATGATTGTATATTCAGAAAATGCCATCGTCTCAGCCCAAATCTCCTTAAGCTGATAAGCAACTTCAGCAAAGTCTCAGGATACAAAATCAATGTGCAAAAATCACAAGCATTCTTATACACCAATATCAGACAAACAGAGAACCAAATCATAAGTGAATTCCCATTCATAATTGCTTCAAAGAGAATAAAATACTGAGGAATCCAACTTACAAGCGATGTGAAGGTCCTCTTCAAGGAGAACTACAAACCACTGCTCAATGAAATAAAAGAGGACACAAACAAATGGAAGAACATTCCATGCTCATGGATAGGAAGAATCAATATTGTGAAAATGGCCATAGCTCCCAAGGTAATTTACAGATTCAATGCCATCCCCATCAAGCTACCAATGACTTTCTTCACAGAATTGGAAAAAACTACTTTAAAGTTCATATGGAACCAAAAAAGAGCCCACATTGCCAATTCAATCCTAAGCCAAAAGAACAAAGCTGGAGACATCACGCTACCTGACTTCAAACTACACTACAAGGCTACAGTAACCAAAACAGCATGGTACTGGTACCAAAACAGAGATATAGACCAATGGAACAGAACAGAGCCCTCAGAAATAATAACACACATCTACAACTATCTGATCTTTGACAAACCTGAGAAAAACAAGAAATGGGGAAAGGATTCCCTATTTAACAAATGGTGCTGGGAAAACTGGCTAGCCATATGTAGAAAGCTGAAACTGGATCCCTTCCTTACACCTTATACAAAAATTAATTCAAGATGGATTAAAGACTTCAATGTTAGACCTAAAACCATAAAAACCCTAGAAGAAAACCTAGTCATTACCATTCAGGACATAGGCATGGGCAAGGACTTCATGTTTAATACACCAAAAGCAATGGCAACATAAGCCAAAATTGACAAATGGGATCTAATTAAACTAAAGAGCTTCTGCACAGCAAAAGAAACTACCATCAGAGTGAACAGACAACCTACAGAATGGGAGAAAATTTTTGCAATCTACTCATCTGACAAAGGGCTAATATCCAGAATCTACAATGAACTCAAACAAATTTACAAGAAAAAAAACAAATAACCCCATCAACAAGTGGGTGAAGGATATGAACAGACACTTCTCAAAAGAAGACATTTATGCAGCCAACAGATACATGAAAAAATGCTCATCATCACTGGCCATCAGAGAAATGCAAATCAAAACAACAATGAGATATCATCTCACACCAGTTAGAATGGCGATCATTAAAAAGTCAGGAAACAACAGGTGCTGGAGAGGATGTGGAGAAATAGGAACACTTTTACACTGTTGGTGGGACTGTAAACTAGTTCAACCTTTGTGGAAGTCAGTGTGGCGATTCCTCAGGGATCTAGAACTAGAAATACCATTTGACCCAGCCATCCCATTACTGGGTATATACCCAAAGGAATATAAATCATGCTGCTATAAAGACACATGGACACGTATGTTTATTGCGGCACTACTCACAATAGCAAAGACTTGGAACCAACCCAAATGTCCAACAATGATAGACTGGATTAAGAAAATGTGGCACATATACACCATGGAATACTATGCAGCCATAAAAAATGAGGAGTTCATGTCCTTTGTAGGGACATGGATGAAGCTGGAAACCATCATTCTCAGCAAACTATCGCAAGGACGAAAAAACCAAACACCGCATATTCTCACTCATAGGCGGGAATTGAACAATGAGAACACATGGACACAGGAAGGGGAACATCGCACACCGGGGCCTGTTGTGGAGTAGGGGGAGGGGGGAGAGATAGCATTAGGAGATATACCTAATGTAAATGACGAGTTAATGGGTGCAGCACACCAACATGGCACATGTATACACATTTAACAAACTTGCACGTTGTGCACATGTACCCTAGAACTTAAAGTATAATAAAATATATATATATATATAAAAGAAAAAAAAGAGAAATAATTGTAACTTCAATACTTGCACAGAGTTCAGAATTGTTTTATCTTAGTTGCTGAACTTTTTCCTTCATAATTGGAGTAAATAACCATGTCAATAAAAATGCAGATACAGATGTCTTCAAAGTCTTAAAACTATAATCTTAGTAAATAATATTAATATGTTTCAGGGGTCACTAATATTCTTAAGATTACTTATAAAGGCTTTTGAACTTTGGGAAAATATTGTTTGTGATCAGTCAGTCAGCTATTTGCAATTTCACTGTGTGTAGCAAGGTACAGAGGAAGAACAATAAATATAAAATCAGAATTCCTGAGTTAAGTTGTATCTTCACCATTTACTATAATATCCAAAAATAGCCTCAATCTACTCCATCTTTGGCATTATTACACCAAAATAGAAATAATGATAGTTTTTCTGCATACCTCACAAAACAGGGGTCAAGTGAGATCATGTAAGCATGAACCCATTTTGTAAAATGTAAAACACTCTCCACAAATGTAAAATTTTAGTAACATTTTGTGTAAAATACTAGAATGGGTGCTGGTTGCCTAGCTACCTGGTATAACAACAATTCTCCCTGCTGCTCTGTAACCCTCTTTTCACTACTTCATTTGTTGGCTGGGAAATAAAAAATTGCACAGGAAAAAGGAATGTAAAATGAAGATCCTGTGAAAGCTTGCCAGGAATATTTGGGAATAAGTGCATTGTGAAAGCATTTCTCCCACATAAAAAATGCTTTTTTTCTATTTCAGTTGTCCCTGAAAGCCTCTTGAGACATATTTCAAAATACACTTTCTCTAATCCAAGTTCATCTTAATATACAAAATCCATAAATCATGATGAGTGAAAAAACAGCTCTGTATACACATGTAATGATAGACTTAACGAGTCAATAAAAAGTATTCTATTTGCATAATTTTAATTTTTCTCTAAGCCAAAAGAAATATATTATGTTTTAAATCACTTTATCTCAGAATTTTGTCAGAACTGGAAAAAATGACAGTGCCATTAAAGAAAAACCTTTTGAAAATTAATAAAAATAGTTAAATGTATACAGAAAAAAATCAACTATGTTCTAAACTATTATTTCTACAATACTATGAAATTATGCTATTGGAAAAGAAAAAATGCTGTTTGTTAAAGGCATATTACATTTAAAAGGTCGTTAAATTTTAATGTATAAAATTAAGTATATAACTCATGCCTTGAGCAAAGCCACATCTAGCCTCTTGCTCAGCAGAGCGCATTATGCCATGAAGCGCGTATTTTTCTTCATATTCTTATAAGATGTAATCTCAAGTAACCTTGCCTCTAACTCTTTGCAGTTAATTTTTATGAATGTTTTTAATTAGGGAAAATGTTTCACAATAGTGAGGATCTGGGGACTTGCCATATGCAGATAGTTTTCTCTTATATGAATTTTAAAAGAAGAAACACTGACAAATGTTTCATCATAATGTTGAAATAGTAAAAACAAGACCGTAAGTACAGAGAAGGCATATGTAGGATATCATACTGACAGATTTTGTCCCATAGACATATTAGTTTGTGAAGAATAATGGACAGAAGAAACAATATAAAAAGCCAAAGAAGAGAATCTTAATGGTGACAAATAGGTCCTATCATTGGCTCGGACCTATCTGAATCTAGAATTTTTATGCACTTTACCTGATCTTGAGAATGCATTTGTATAAGTGGTTGGAATTCCAACGTAGTAGGAATTTACGATAAGACTGATAGTCAAAGTCAGTGAATCAAGAAGTAGGGTGGGTTGGTGAAGGGGTAGAGGTAGGTGGAGGCTGGGGAGTGTCAGACAGTTATATACCTTATAGCTAGAGTAGGGGCCAGGACAAGTAGTATGCTGAATATCCTGAACCATGGGAATCAATAATCACGAGAAAAAACAAAAATCCGAGATCCCTCTACTAGTACTGCTAACAGCTCCAGTTTCCTTCCCACAGTACTGAGACAGCAATAACTGAACTGGTCTGATGATCTTACACTACCTAGCCCTTAAGCTTCAGAGATGAGGGGAATATTTCAACAAAATCAAATTGAATGGTGAAAGGGCCACATAAGAATGCATTTTCATTATTCAGGAGGAAAAATAGTTAAGGAACTCTCTTGTTCAGAATATATTTTATTTCCTGTATATTTATTAGATAGGATGCTTTCAGCCTTAATGACTAAAAATTTGCATTACTTATGTATAAAATGTAATTTATTTTAAATATTGTTCTTATAGCCAGCATTTTTATTTAAATAATGTATTTGTAGATACTTTGGTTTCCTATTTAAGCAATCATATCACCTACAAATAATGACAGTGTCCCTCCTTTCTATTCCTCATAGTTTTTTTACTTTTCTTATTTTACCATACTGATAAGATCTCCTGAGCAGTGTTGAAAAGAAATCGTGATAGTTAGATAGTCTTGCATTCTTCCTGATATTAAAGAGAATGTTAAAGAGAACAGCTAAGATGATTGTTGCAGATTCTTGTTATTCGTTATGAAGTTGAGAAAATTTCCATTGCCAGTTTGCCAAAATTTTTTATAGTGAAGGACTCTTTTTTATCAAAAAGTTTTTCTGCATAGATTGAAATGATATGGTAACACAATAAATTACATTAAATGATTTTATAATATCAAACCACCATTCCATTTTTAGAGTAAACTAAAATTTATTGTGATATATCTATTTTCTGATATACTCTGAACAGTTTGTGAATACTTTTTAATTTTTTCATCTACATTGCTAAATGAGATCAGACTTACATGTCTACTCTTTTTTTCTAACCGTTATTAGATGATGTTAATATCTCAGAATAATTCTTAGACTGTTACTTTTTTTTATAGTATGGAAATTTTGTGGAGATTGGATTAACTTATTTTTTGAGAATTTGGTAGAATATGAATCTGGTGGTTTCTTTGAACTCAGATTTTAAAGGAAATTCCATTTATTTAGTGTTTATAGAACTATTTTGACTTTTACAAATCTAGAATTGGTTTTGTTAAATTATATTTTTCAGAAATTTTTCCATGTACTATTTTAATGTTTGTCATGTGGTTATTTATGATATTTTTATTGATCCTTTATCTTCTGCTGTATATGCAGTTATAGCCATGTTTAAAACCCTAAAGTATTGCTTATTTTTGCTTTTTCCATCTTTTGTACATCACAGTTACTAGAAATTTGTTTATTTTACTAGTCATTACAGAAAAGTGTTTTTTCTTTGTGAATTCACTTTATTACATTGTTATATTCCATTTTATTAATACTTGCTCTTGATTTTGCATATCTTCTCATTTTTGCATTTACTTATATTTTTCAAACTTTTGTATATTAACTATTTTTCTACTATAAAAGTTAATATTTGTACATTTTTCTAAAGCTACTACACCTCACAGATTATATTAAGTGGCATTTAAATAACTAGTCAATTATAATGATTTTTGTTTTCTTTTTTAAATTGTCTTGATACATCAATTATTTAGATGTGTGTTTCTTAATTTAAAATATATGGGTTTTTATATATGTTTCAAGTCCTAATATAAATAAATTTTATTGAAGAACTGGTCTAATCAGATCTACACTTTAAATTTGTCAGAAATTGCTTTATTACCTAGTTCATGAGCAAATTTTGTAAAGGTTACAATAAAATGAGATGTGCTTTAATTGTGGGTTCAAATTTTATATTTGTCAATTAAGGAAAGCTTGTTATTTTGTTGCTCAATAATTGTTGAATTTTGCTCTATCAATAAATTGCAAACTGCTATGAAATCTCTCTTCATAATGGTGAATTTGTGTTTTTCTCAAAATTTGTATTTTTCACAATTTGTAGTCTTGTGAAGCCCTGTTTTATATGTTTTTAAAAATATGTTATTAGATACACACCATTTTAGAATTTCTTTTATCTTTTTGGATAATTATACCTTTCTTCAATATGGAGTAAAATGACTGTTGACATTTATTTTGTCTGATTAAAATAGCTGCATCCTACTATTTTTATAGTATTTGTCTGCTCTATTTTTATTCTTTGTTTAGATTTTTCCATGTTCTTATATATTAAATGTCTCTTATAAATAAAATATAGTATTAGAATAAAATGCTTTGAAAAGTAACTCACGCATATGTGCACACACAAGCAAACAAGACCACATGAATATATTAAGAACCTTGGAAAAGCGTTAAATACTTATTAAGAATTAATAAAAATCAAAAGTTTTTAAGTAGCCTGGAATAAATAGACTAACATAGTAAAGAACATATTAGAAAATAATGACAATGAGTTGACAATGAGTGAGGGCTCGAAAATCCAGGTTTTAAGGTAGGGTATGAAGATAAAATAATTTAAATAGCTTAGTACTTCCCCTAGACACAGTAACCTAATCTATTGAAGATAATAGAAAATATATACCAAAAACTCTAAGTTTGATAATTTAACATATGATTGAAGCAAAATGCTAAATTCTTGAAAAATGTTATTAAATAGAATAATTTTATGACATATATTTTATAATTAGAATGTTATGAATGAGATAGAATATACTGATAACAGGAATAATTGGTTAATAAATTGGAAAAGAAGTATACAGTTTGATCTGTATTCTCATTCTATATTTCCAAATAAATTGTAGATTTCTTGAAGTGTTAAAAATAATCAAAGGAAAATATTTTATTTTCTTAAAGAAAATTAAAATATTTTTTCAGAAAAGCAGAAATGTGAATGTTTGTTTCAGCATAACAGAAGCTGATAATCATAAGGGAAATCCATATAAATTAACAGTGCTGCTCTGAGACCCACACCAGTAAGTATAATCATTTAACATATAGTGGATCCCGCTTACAAGTAAACATGGAGCAGGCAGTAACATGGAATTCAACTAGTCAAAATTTGTATCGCTTGCTTCTTAGCTTGGGCAATTCCAAATGGGATGGGGAGAATGAGTGAGAACAATACCTTCAGGTTAAAGGAAGCAACACCTTTAACAAATGAAATGTCAAACTTAACATGGTACTAATATTTTTATAAACCAATAAAAATATCAATTATTATCCATGCAAATTAAATGATTTTTAATTCTGTGTGTCAGTTTGGCTAAGTTACTTAACTTTAACCACTTAAGAAATATTTCTAACGGACCTAACAACTGTGAGACACTGTTTCATACAGGATGTGGTATCATGAACAAGAGGGTGGCTCTTACGCTTACATTAGAGTAGACCTTTCATTTCCCAGCCTGTACAATAACTCATAGAATTAAGGAGAGATTTAAAGGAAATAATGTTTGAAGTGCCTATTATCATTGAGTAGGTGCATAAGGAATAGTTACTTTAATACAAGGTTAGATACAAGAAAAGATTATTTCAGCAAAGAATGCTTGAACCATTGCTGTTTTATATATTTCAGCTCCTAGACTAAAACTGCTGAAAGAGATACCATTTAGACTCCACAAAGAGACTTCCCCTTCAGTCTTTGGTCTCCTGACAAGATGAAGAGCTGAAAAAAAAAATTCTATTTTATCATCTTTGTACCTTACAATTTCCCAGAATTAGTAAGAAAGTTGCCACTTGTTAAGCTAACATTATTCTTCTCTACTATTTCCCAATGTGTATCTCCGCTGCAGCAGACCACTTCCCACCTGACAAACTTTTTTTGGGACAGTCTCACTCTTTCACCTAGGCTGGAGTGCTGTGGCAATATCTCGGCTCACTGCACTCTTTGCCTCCCAGGCTCAGGTGATCCTCCCGCCTCAGCACCCTGAGAAGCTGGGACTACAGTCGTGTGCCACCACACTCAGCTAATTTTTAATTTTTTGTAGAAAAAAATTAGGTCTCATTATATTGCCCAGGCTGGTCTCAAACTCATGGATTTAAGTGATCCTCCCACCTCACCCTTCCAAAGTGCTAGGATTACAGGTATGAGCCACCATGCCGGGCCCTGACAAACTTCTTATACCCTGAGCAACGTCTTTGACGCTAGTCTCCTCATTGAATTATACTGTGTTTTTATGATCCAAATGTAGTGATCATTTGAGCTCAGTTGTAATTCCACAATGAAATCTTTCTCAAAAACAGTATGGACCACCACTCTTTCTTAGATGCTTCTCATATGGCCTCTGATCTCCACACTTGGAGTAGTCAATTACCTCTGGATGAAATAGTCTTATGCTGACAACAGGTTTCCTTTGGAAGGAGCCAGGAGGGAATATTGGTGCTCTTTGAGCTTCAGTAAAAACTATCATTCTCCAGCTTCCTCATCTTCTAGAGATAGAGACAAGAGGGAGCCACAGAGATCTCGGTGCTTTATTTGAGACCAAACTTCTTTTTCCAACCTCCATGTCACCATTACTAGGTCAAGTCAGGCCTCCAGAAATCAATGGAATTGGCAACTGCTTCACCCTACGTTCCTACTAGCTCTCATAGCCCCTCTATGGGCGTCTGCACTGAGACCATCAGGACAAATCCCATTATTCCCTTGATCCCTGGACATATCACTACAGGAAGCCGAGAATTTCCAGGTCATCCCTTACCATGAAGACTCTAGTCCTCAGATTGCCTTCTACATAAACTTTTCTGACTCCATTTCCAAAACCTGTCCAGCTCCTGAAACATTTTCACAGTTGTACCCAGTGATCAGCAAAATTTCCTACATTCTCAAATTCCTCAATACAATTTTCCTTCCCTTTAGTTTTTTAACTAAAATCAGTTTAAAACTACAGTCCTCACAAGTGGAGAATGTTTACACTTGCATTCTCCTCCATCGTGAGTTTTTCCGATGGAATGGATTGGTCCTTGTTGGCACTTTCAGAGAATTCTTCCTTTCCTACATTATCCTACCTTTGACTCTTTTGCCAGTGATGTCACAGTCACGTTCTCTCACTCATTGACTTCTTGCACACTGCTATCACTCTTGTCAAAAACAACCTTGTTTTATTCTTGGTGATTTTAATGTTCATGTACATGGTCTTTCAAATTCTTAGCCACCCAGTTCCTTGAATTCCTCTCTTCCCATATTCTATTATTCATTTTGCCTCACTCATAATTATATTCTTAGAAACCTTGGCATTATCAATTATTGTATTCCCTCCAAAATTATAATTTCTTGCATCTTAACCCTTCCACTCACCAGTGTCTTTCCTTCTAGCCCACCCATTTTGTTCTTTAACTTCAATAAATGCTTAATTACACCAAGATATCGAACAATTAATCCTAACTCCTTTTCATTGGACCTAACATACCTCATGCCTTTCCTTCTCTCTTCATCTATTAAAAAACATGTACCATCATTGCAATCACCCTCTTGTATTTACTGATCTCTTTACCATCCCTCTCTTCACAGCAGTGCCTGACCAAAACAAAACAAAACAAAACAAAACAAAACAAAACAAAACAAAACAATTCTCCAACTACTCTTTATCTAGACCTATGCAACTGAACATGACTGGAGAAAACCACGTGTTCGCTGGTTGACATTTTATGAGCTCAAGGGACTCTTGGTCCTGCTCAGCAATCCTTCCTCATTGTTTTAGTCCATTTACTCTCCTACTCTCCTTAATAAAAATTGACACTTTTTTCATTTTCTTTAAATCACTAGGATCTCTTGAGTATCTTCACTCTTAGCCAATGACATTTATTCCTCTTCCACTGAGAAACTGGAGGTGTCAAAAGAGAACACACACCCCCACCCCGCCAAATTCTTACCACTATATCTACCTACCTACCTGTGACAGTGGCCATATAAATTAAGTTTAAGGTCAGGATTAGGGTTGGGCTGTGTACTTTTCCTTGGCTCTTGTTGCTATGGAGAAGCTCTTCATTTTCCTACTCACAATCACTCCTTCTCCTTGTGTACTAGATTTCATCCCCTTTCACCTATTCAAAGATGTACTATTCTAGCAATTCTTCCATCCCCCTACTTCATCCGTTTTTTATCAGCACTGCTGCATGTTCTACCTTTAAAATATATCCTTAACTGTACTACTTTTTTACTATTTCTATTACTATCCCGGGTGTCCAGGCAACCAGTGAATCCTGCCTGGATTTTTGCAATATCTCCTTGTATCCCTCTGCTTCCTCTATTGCCTTCATATTGCCCATTCTCAAGGGAGCATCCAAAGCAATTTTGTTTACAAACAAGTCAGATTATGTTAATTTTCTGCTGAAATTCCTCCAGTGATTTGCCTTCCTGGAGATCCAATGAATATCTTTACAATGATATATAAGATGCCAAATGATCTGCCTATCACTACATCTCTGATCTCCTCTGATCCCAACTCACTCTATTCCAGCCACCCCAAACATACATTATACCTCCAGGATTTTGCCATTCCCCTCCCTCTTCTTGGAATGCCCTTTCCAGTGTATCCAAAAGGTTTACTCCTTCAGCTTCTTTGGGAAATAAGTGAGACCTCCTTGTCCACCTACATCAAATAAACCCCTTTCCACGTCTCACCTTAATCCCTCCCCTGCTTAATTTGGTTTCTCTATTTTCCATGCCTGGTACTTGGTAGGCACTGTACAAAATTTTATTGACTACAGAAATAAATGAATAAACATAGTATTTGCCCAATTCGTATTGAATGACGGAATCAATCATTTTCTCTTGTGAGATTCTACAACACTTGAAGTCTGTATCATGTCAGTTGGCACCTAATTACATATGGTTATTTTTATCAATAGCTACTATAAACTCCACACATACACAGATTATATTCTAGATTTATTTCACACTCCACACAGCACTTTAATAGCACACAATTTCTGACAGGTGTTCATAAAATTCTGCATATAGAATAAAATACTCATTGATAACATGCATCTAAAGGCTCCAAGAAAATGCAAAAAACTTGCTGTTATATTTCTCTCTCCTCCCTGTGTTCTCTTTTTGAAAACAAGCCTGATAAGAAGTAATAACATTAGGAAAGCTTGAATTCTCAGTTCTTCTTTATTCTATCCTACTATCTAGAGAGGTTTATCAGTAACAAAATGTAGATGAAGAATAACTGAAGAAAAAACAAAAAAAGGCAGGAAAAGGAAGCCAAAATTGGAATTTCCACTGCATAAGAACAGCTTTTGGATTCACCCTGAGGTACTGTTAGTTAATTAAAGATCATGTGATAGATTGCAGTATCTTTTGCTTCCTTCCAGTTAGAATATTCAATTCAATTGAAATGAGGCAATGTGGACTTCAAAGGGAATTAATACATCATATAGATACGCTCATTCATAAGATTCGATCATTTTAGAGATTAGCAATTTGGTATATGACCAGAGATATATTATTACAAGCTTGAATAACCATAAATGATGTTATAATTTAATCAGGTAAAATGGAGCTTCAGACCTTATTTTCTTTATTTCTTTGTAAAAGGACATTTCACCTTTTTTTGGTGCCTATTATCGAATTTAATGCAGTCCCTGTCAATAAAATATACCTTATATTTGACCCAGTAGTTCATCACTGTAATTCATACTATCACCTTGACAGAGATACAGAGCACCTCTTCACAGGATCATTTTACTTAAAGACATGTATCAAGTCACCTTCTAACCTTATCCTCTCCAGGCTAGACTATGTCAACTGATTTATCTTGCCTTCAAAGATTCTACTTTCTTACTGTAATAATTTCTTTAAGTCTTCTCTATTTTCCTCTAAATTCCTAGCAATGTAGGAACAAATATTTGAACATGTTATTTCAGAGGGTTTAAATGGTACACAGCATTAGGAAAGCAGTAAGAGCCCTGGCCCTACTAGAAGGAAGAGAAGCCTGGATTCCAGCACTATTTTGATGATTGATGAGAGGTTCCTTGAGTTTGCAAAACTGAGCTTCAATTTCTCCAAATTTAAAAACCAGAAATATCCTATTTTATCTAACAAGGTCTTTGATTGGGGTGGGAGAACGTTTGAATTTAAAGCATTTTGTAACTGTAACTATTATTATTTTCTGCTAACCACAGTCAAAAAGGAAATTCTGCCTATTAAATAAAAACTACGAGAAGCCTTTTTACACATTAATATCAACTGAGGATACCACCTTTCTGTTTTTAAAATAGTTGAAAACTATTAAATAAAGTATGATTCTGCACCTATTCACTGGGACATATTTAATTTTTTAAAATGTAGTATATGCTGTTCTGGTTTTCATTAAAGTCAGTAATAGGGAGCAGAGGGGAATATTAAAAAATAACTAGGTAATTGCTTGTCTTAGTTTAAACTATTTTCCCCTTCAAAATGTGACTGCATTTTGAGTGTGTGGAATTAAATATAAGTGGGTATGTAGTTAGCATGGTGAAGGGGGGAATTAGACAGAAAAAATCTTTTTATATAACGGGCGTTTTGTGTCTGATTTCTTTCCCAGCATGCTAAAAATGTAATCACCAAATGTGAAATAGAAATGCATGGAGTTCGGAATTTCCTCTTCACAGTGTTCTCATCCCACATCAACACACATACATCCTTCAAGTTTACACATTTAGCTTCTATTTAATACATCATTCAAACAAGGCATTTTCTCTTATGTTTCTTTTTACCCCTGCCTCAAAGCATCTGAAATTTCAAAAAGCCTTTTCTTAAACATGTACAAAAAAAAACATGATACTAGAAAGAAATTAAAGCCTCAAACTTATCAGTGAAGTCTTTGAAGTTTACTGACTTATGCTACAGGGAAACCACAGATATGCAATATTTGAATATTTCCAGTCAGTAGCATAAAATTAGTGGAGTTACACAGAGTAGTTGTGGACACAGAGCCACCTGACCTTTCCGTATCCAAAGATACGAATGAGTTCCAAGACAGTGGGTGGTGCCTCTTCAACTCTGCAGAATTCATCCTAGGCTATAAACTTTTAAATATCTACATTTCCAACTTCTTGCCCTAATTTACTTTTAGTATCACAAAATTTCTTACAGTCATCCAAATAATTGTTTTCTTAAATCTTGAAGACTGAAAGGTAAGTTAAAAACAAACGTATACACATATACATATATATGTGTGTATATATATATACATATATATGTGTATATATATATATATATACATATTTACTGTACTATGAGTAGAGAGTTCTAGAAAAAATCTGTTTAAAGTTTCTTGGTTGCAAATACCAGGAACTCCCTTCAAATTACCTGAAGCAAAAGAAAATGCATTGTGGAAAGGTAGTGTACTATCTTTTATGATTGCCACTTGGGGGATGGCAAAATTTCTCAGAAAAAAATGTTTCAACTGGGCAGGAAGCCTAAACTGGGTCTACCAAAGGATCAAAGGAAAATAATAAAGCACATGCTTTGCTTCAAGAGTCTCACCTCCATTTGCCTTTCTTAGAAAGTGGTTTTTTTTTCCCCTGCTTTCAAGAACAAATTTCCTCTAAAGTAGTTATCAGTTCCACACTTCTTAGAAACTAATGCTTTCTAAAATCACTCTGCTTTAGCACCTAATTTTTCTCAACTTCAGTTTTCACATTCGCAAATTAGAGATCAAGATGCCTGCCTCCCAGAGGTAAGAGAGAACCACAGGAAGAGAAAGCAAGTTAAAAAAAAAAAATCTATAGCAGTGCTTAGTGTGTAATTTGTGCTCAGTAAAGATTTTCAGCTGGGCATGGTGGCTCACGCCTGTAGTTCCAGCACTTTGGGAGGCCGAGGCAGGCAGATCACGAGGTCAGGAGTTCAAGACCAGCCTGGTCAATATGGTGAAACCCCGTCTCTACTAAAAATACAAAAATTAGCCGGGTGTGATGGTGCACACCTGTAGTCCCAGCTACTCGGGAGGCTGAGGCAGAAGAATCGCTTGAACCCAGGAGATGGAGGTTGCAATGAGCTGAGATCGGGCCACTGCACTCCAGCCTGGGTGACAGAGCGAGACTCCATCTCAGAAAAAAAAAAAAAAAAAAAAAAAAGATTTCCATCTTTTTTCAATCATCAAAAGTTAGTATCATAATGAACCACTTCTCCCAAGGATGAATGGATGAAGAAGAGAGTCTAGGAGTATGGATTTCATGTCTTTACCTCTCAGAGTAGATGTCATCAAGAACAATTATAAAATGTCCCATCAGTGTATTATCAGAAAGAAGTGTGAGTTGAATAGACATGTACTACATTCTATTACTTTCATGATTCATACAATTTTCAACAAAAGTGCTCTTCTGAATATAAGTGTAGGTTACATAAAAGGTAAGAGTTCTAATTTGGTTAATTACTTATGCTTATTTTCTTAGTTATGTTCAAGTGTTTTTTCTGAATAAAATCATAAAACTTAAAATTATGTGTGACTCATTTACTAAATAATTTTCCCGGTGGTTCTGGACTACTGACTCCCTGTATAACTTCTGTTTGTGTTCCTGACAATTCACCAATATGCCACACAAAGTTATGGAAATTCTTCTGCATTACATCTGACATCTTTCAATGAGACGATGGAAAATGATGATCTTTAATTCAACAGCACTCAAAAGGTAGCTAATTTGATTTTTAAATCTTTAGGGTCTGTAGAATTTAAGTCAGACATCGGAAATTATTAAAAGAAAAGATTGACAGTTCTGTCCACAGACTTTATTGGTTATAATAAGATATTTATAAAACCATAATGCTAGAGAAAAAAGTACTATAAATGTTTTGCTATGAAAAATGCAGAGGCTTTTATACAGGATGCCAAAGCCATAATAAAGACTTTCATAAATCTCTAGCATCACAGTTCCAAAGATTGGGGAATTCTGAAAATACGCTAAGAAGACTATCCTTGGAAATAGATCACTCACTGGACACCTTAGCTAGCCACTCCTGAAAAACATGGCAAAGAGGAACAAGCTGGTAAACTACAACAGGTAATTCACCACCAGGTGATAAATGTCTCCTATGGTGAAAAATATTGTAGTAGGCAAACAAAGAGGAGGCATTTCTTGGAAGAGGTGATGGCTTCAAAATGTCTGTAAATAACATATATCTAGAATCTATCTATATGAAACATTCTTAAAACTTTGAAAGGAAAAAACCTAATATTTGCTCAAGTTTATTATCATCTACAATGGTGAAAGGGAGTAAACTGAATGGGAAAAAAATGACTACTTGGTGAGATAATGTCTTATTTTATGTGTAGCTTAAGCATATTTATTTCTTCTAAGAAGAATACTTTATATCCTCAGCTGTGTGATTCAGAAATATGAATTGAACTGCACACAAATACAACCTGAGGGATAGGGGAAACATAGATTATATTTTCTATTTTGTATATGTTGGAAATTAAAGGTATGCTTAGCCATTTCCTTGAATTTCAGTTTCCCAAAATGGGAAGTAACCAAGATGCCTTGTATAGGTATAAAGGAACAAACAAACTATGGTATACCATGCAGCGAAATATTATTTATTAATATAAAAATAGATGGCGCTGCGTATGGTGGCTCACGCCTGTAATCCCAGCACTTTGGGAGGCCGAAGCGGGTGGATTAATTGAGGTCAGGAGTTCGAGACCAGCCTGGCCAACATAGTGAAACCACATCTCTACTAAAAAAAAAGTGCCAAAAAAATTAGCTGGGCGTATTGGTGTGTGCCTGTAATCCCAGCTACTTGGGAAGCTGAGACAGGAGAATTGCTTGAACCCAGGAGGTGAAGGTTGCATTGCGCTGAGATTGCCCCACCTCACTCTAGCCTGGGCAAAAAGAGTGAGACTCCATCTCAAAAATAAATACATAAATAAAATAAAAAATAAATAAATGAGCTATCAAATCATGAAAAAACACAGATAAATCTTTAATGCATATTATTAAATAAAGGAAACCATTCTCAAAAGGCTACATGCTATATGATTCAAATTGTATCCTATATGTTTTATTTTATAAAAAAGGTAAAACTATTGAGATAGTAAAACTACAGAGGGAGTGCAAGAATCAGTGGTTTCCAGGGGATAAGGGGTGGAGTTTGGGAAGGATGAACAGGTGGAGCACAGGGGATTTTTTCAGGCAGTGAAACTATTGTATATGATACTGCAATGATGGATGAATACATGACATTTTGCATTTGGTACAGGCCAAAAAACCCCACCACACAAAGGAATGTAAACTATAGACTTTAGTTAATAGTAGCTTATCAATATTAGTTTATCAACTGTAACAAATCTACCACAGTAATGTGAGATGTTAGTAATGGGGAAACTCAGCGGGGGCTAGGGACAAAGTATATGGGAACTCTGTACTTTCTGCTGAATTGTTCTATGAGTTTAAAACTGATTTTTCAAAAAGTCTATTAATTTGTTTTAATCACCAGGAAAAAACTTGTAGTAAAGACTGTTAGGTTTCTTTAGCTTTTTACAGCAGGAAAAACATATCTGGAAGCATATCAGTAAGAGGGACTTGGGAGAGGATTCAGATTAGAGCTTGATAATTCTTAAGAGGGACAAAGGATGCTGTTTTGCCTTGGACAGTGTCAAAGGTGACAACAATGAATACCTGAATTTTTATCCTAAGAGGTAGGGGATTAAAGTAGGACTACTGATATTATTGGTTTAAAACCATAAAAACCAAACCCTAGAAGAAAACCTAGGCGATACCATTCAGGACATAGGCATGGGCAAGGACTTCATATTTAAAACACCAAAAGCAATGGCAACAAAAGACAAAGTTGACAAATGGGATCTAATTAAACTAAAGAGCTTCTGCACAGCAAAAGAAACTACCATCAGAGTGAACAGGCAACCTACAGAATGGGAGAACATTTTTGCAACCTACTCATCTGACAAAGGGCTAATATCCAGAATCTACAAAGAACTCAAACAAATTTACAAGAAAAAAACAACCCCATCAACAAGTGGGTGAAGGATATGAACAGACACTTCTCAAAAGAAGACATTTATGCAGCCAACAGATACATGAAAAAATGCTCATCATCACTGGCCATCAGAGAAATGCAAATCAAAACCACAATGAGATATCATTTCACACCAGTTAGAACGGCGATCATTAAAAAGTCAGGAAACAACAGGTGCTGGAGAGGATGTGGAGAAATAGGAACACCTTTACACTGTTGATAGGACTGTAAACTAGTTCAACCATTGTGGAGGACAGTGTGGTGATTCCTCACAGATCTAGAACTAGAAATACCATTTGACCCAGCCATCCCATTACTGGGTATATACCCAAACGATTATAAATCATGCTGTTATAAAGACACATGCACACGTATGTTTATTGCAGCATTATTCACAATAGCAAAGACTTGGAACCAACACAAATGTCCAACAACGACAGACTGAATTAAGAAAATGTGGCACATATATGCCATGGAATACTATGCAGCCATAAAAAATGATGAGTTCATGTCCTTTGTAGGGACATGGATGAAGCTGGAAACCATCATTCTCAGCAAACTATCACAAGGAGAGAAAACCAAACACTGCATATTCTCACTCATAGATGGGAATTGAACAATCAGAACACTTGGACACAGGAAGGGGAACATCGCACACCGGGGCCTGTTGTGGGGTGGCGGGAGTGGGGAGGCATAGCACTAGGAGATATACCTAATGTAAATGATGATTTAATGGGTGCAGCACACCAGCATGGCACATGTATACATATGTAACAAACTGCACGTTGTGCACATGTACCCTAGAACTTAAAGTATAATAAAAAAAAAAAAAAAAATATATATATATATATATATATATATATATATATATATATATATATGAAGCCTAAAATTTTTTTTTATGGTTTCAGGTCTAACATTTAATTCTTTAATCCATCTTGAATTAATTTTTTTTAATTTTTTTTAATTTTTTAATTTTTTTTAATTTTATTATAATTATACTTTAAGTTTTAGGGTACATGTGCACAATGTGCAGGTTAGTTACATATGTATACATGTGCCATGTTGGTGTGCTGCACCTATTAACTCGTCATTTAGCATTAGTTATATCTCCCAATGCTATCCCTCCCCCCTCCCCCCACCCCACAACAGTCCCCAGAGTGTGATGTTCCCCCTCCTGTGTACATGTGTTCTCATTGTTCAATTCCCATCTATGAGTGAGAACATGCGGTGTTTGTTTTTTTGTCCTTGCGAAAGTTTACAGAGGATGATGATTTCCAATTTCATCCATGTCCCTACAAACGACATGAACTCATCATTTTTTATGGCTGCATAGTATTCCGTGGTGTATATGTGCCACATTTTCTTAATCCAGTCTATCATTGTTGGACATTTGGGTTGGTTCCAAGTCTCTGCTATTGTGAATAGTGCTGCAATAAACATACGTGTGCATGTGTCTTTATAGCAGCATGACTTATAATCCTTTGGGTATATACCCAGTAATGGGATGGCTGGGTCAAATGGTATTTCTAGTTCTAGATCCCTGAGGAATCGCCACACTGACTTCCACAATGGTTGAACTAGTTTACAGTCCCACCAACAGTGTAAAAGTGTTCCTATTTCTCCACATCCTCTCCAGCACCTGTTGTTTCCTGACTTTTTAATGATTGCCATTCTAACTGGTGTGAGATGATATCTCATAGTGGTTTTGATTTGCATTTCTCTGATGGCCAGTGATGATGAGCATTTTTTCATGTGTTTTTTGGCTGCATAAATGTCTTTTTTTGAGAAGTGTCTGTTCATGTCCCTCGCCCACTTTTTGATGGGGTTGTTTGCTTTTTTCTTGTAAATCTGTTTGAGTTCATTGTAGATTCTGGATATTAGCCCTTTGTCAGATGAGTAGGTTGCGAAAATTTTCTCCCATTCTGTAGGTTGTCTGTTCACTCTGATGGTAGTTTCTTTTGCTGTGCAGAAGCTCTTTAGTTTAATTAGATCCCATTTGTCAATTTGTCTTTTGTTGCCATTGCTTTTGGTGTTTTAGACATGAAGTCCTTGCCCATGCCTATGTCCTGAATGGTAATGACTAGGTTTTCTTCTAGGGTTTTTATAGTTTTACGTCTAACATTGAAGTCTTTAATCCACCTTGAATTAATTTTTGTATAAGGTGTAAGGAAGGGATCCAGTTTCAGCTTTCTACATATGGCTAGCCAGTTTTCCCAGCACCATTTATTAAATAGGGAATCCTTTCCCCACTGCTTGTTTTTCTCAGGTTTGTCAAAGATCAGATAGTTGTAGATATGTGGCGTTATTTCTGAGGGCTCTGTTCTGTTCCATTGATCTATATCTCTGTTTTGGTACCAGTATCATGCTGTTTTGGTTACTGTAGCCTTGTAGTATAGTCTGAAGTCAGGTAGATGCAATATAGATGCAAAAAAAAAATGATAAAGGGGATATCACCACCAATCCCACAGAAATACAAACTACCATCAGAGAATACTACAAACACCTCTATGCAAATAAACTAGAGAATCTAGAAGAAATGGATAAATTCCTCGACACATATACCCTCCCAAGACTAAACCAGGAAGAATTTGAATCTCTGAATAGACCAATAACAGGCTCTGAAATTGTGGCAATAATTAATAGCTTACCAACCAAAAAGAGTCCAGGACCAGACAGATTCACAGCTGAATTCTACCAGAGGTACAAGGAGGAACTGGTACCACTCATTCTGAAACTATTCCATTCAATAGAAAAAGAAGGAATCCTCCCTAACTCATTTTATGAGGCCAGCATCATCCTGATACCAAAGCCAGGCAGAGACACAACAAAAAAAGAGAATTTTAGACCAATATCCTTGATGAACATTGATGCAAAAATCCTCAATAAAATACTGGCAAACGAAATCCAGCAGCACATCAAAAAGCTTATTCACCATGACCAAGTGGGCTTCATCCCTGGGATGCAAGGCTGGTTCAATATACGCAAATCAATAAATGTAATCCAGCATATGAACAGAACCAAAGACAAAAACCACGTGATTATCTCAATAGATGCAGAAAAGGCCTTTGACAAAATTCAACAACCCTTCATGCTAAAAACTCTCAATAAATTAGGTATTGATGGGACGTATTTCAAAATAATAAGAGCTATCTATGACAAACCCACAGCCAATATCATACTGAATGGGCAAAAACTGGAAGCATTCCCTTTGAAAACGGGCACAAGACAGGGATGCCCTCTCTCACCACTCCTATTCAACATAGTGTTGGAAGTTCTAGCCAGGGCAATTCGGCAGGAGAAGGAAATAAAGGGTATTCAATTAGGAAAAGAGGAAGTCAAATTGTCCCTGTTTGCAGACGACATGATTGTATATCTAGAAAACCCCATTGTCTCAGCCCAAAATCTCCTTAAGCTGATAAGCAACTTCAGCAAAGTCTCAGGATACAAAATCAATGTACAAAAATCACAAGCATTCTTATACACCAATAACAGACAGAGAGCCAAATCATGAGTGAAATCCCATTCACAATTGCTTCAAAGAGAATAAAATACCTAGGAATCCCACTTACAAGGGACGTGAAGGACCGCTTCAAGGAGAACTACAAACCACTGCTCAATGAAATAAGAGTATACAAACAAATGGAAGAACATTCCATGCTCATGGGTGGGAAGAATCAATATCGTGAAAATGGCCATACTGCCCAAGGTAATTTACCGATTCAATGCCATCCCCATCAAGCTACCAATGACCTTCTTCACAGAATTGGAAAAAACTACTTTAAAGTTCATATGGAACCAAAAAAGAGCCCACATCGCCAAGTCAATCCCAAGCCAAAAGAACAAAGCTGGAGGCATCACGCTACCTGACTTCAAGCCTAAAAATTTTGTCAGACAGTGTTTAAGGCATGTTTACAGTTGAGAAGAGTCTCCTTCTGTCTTCTCAAACATGGCTGCACAATGGCCTTGTCTGAGTATTATTAGGTGGGTGCAAAAGTAATTGTGGGTTTTGCCATTACTTTCAATGGTAAAAACTGCAATTATTTTTGCACCAATTTATACTTTTACTTCATGATCATTTATGTTGTGTTGGGAACATTATGGCTTAGATTTTTCTAAGACTGTTTTTCACTTGTTTACTACAATAATATAGCAATTAAATAAATCATGTCAAGTCTACATAAGCTGCTCGTTTGTCCAGTTGTCCTCTCATTTTCTAAGCAGTTTACAAACCCAAGACAGATATTTAAAAGAATATCTACTTATTCTACTTTGCAACCAAACTCTAAGGATGTTTTCACATGCAAGGAATATAAAATTTGAATCAATTGACTTAAAAATACCAGAAATTTTTAATATTTTCACTTATAGAAAGATACATAATTATGATATTTCTAGGTTTGGAAATTCTGATGCTTAATGACATCACTAAGGACAAAGGCTTTTTCCATCTTTTCAGTGTACAGTCCTCAATGTGTTGGCTTTTATGATCAGGCTTGTCCCTTTATAGTCTCAAGATGGCTGCAAGCACCTTCAGGTATTACATTCCCACACAACAATGCTCAAAGACTAGAGAGAAGAAAAATGCTGCACTTATTCCTCATCCCTTTTTGAAACTGAAAATAATTTTCCCAGAAGTTCCCAGCAAATTTCCTCTTACCATGTGCATTTTCCTCTGTTTATAATGTTGTTCCTTAATCTGAAATATTATTACATATGTTATTGCATAAATTCCACACGTCTGGGATTAAGTCCAGGAAGTATTCTTTGAATTCAAACCAGCGCTCAGCAAAAATTGGCTATACAATGCCAGCCAGGAAATATTTTAGGTTTTGCAGGCATCATAGAGTCTCTATTTCACATTCTTGTTTTTGTTTTGTTTTAATCATTCCTGGCTTGAGGGCTGTACAAAAACTGGGTGCATGCTGAAACTGGCTTGCAGACAGTAGCTTGTCAATCCCTGATTTAGCCAATTACTTTTCACCAACAATGATGATGCTAAACTATACAGTATTTAAAGTTTTTTATTGTAAGTCCAGTTCAATTCAACAAATATTTATTGAGCACCTCTTATGTGCCAAGCATGGAAAGTAGAGCTACAAATAAGTAGTGCATGTTCCTATTCAGAGAAGAAATGTTTAATTGAGAAAAGTTTATATAATCAAGGGGAGTCAAAAGATACAGTAAATCCTTACAGAAAATTTCATTATAAAACATAACATAGCATCCAGAAATCCTGCATTTTTAAAAGCCCATATTCAGAAAAATACAATTTGTATTCATCTCTCCTTTTGAATTACTATGTTTCTTGATTATCTTCATATACAAGATTTTGTGAACACTTTTGTGTTGCTATTTAATATTTAGGTTGTGTTTCTCCTCTTTATGTTGGGTTCTTCCTCGTTCTACCTTTCACCTTATGTGTACTCCATGAGTAAATTTATATTTCTTCATTGAGTGAGTTGGACAAAGCTTCTTGTCTGTATCTGGGAACCAATGGTTTATGTGAAAGTTAGAAATTTTGTTATTAAATTGGAGCAGTTAAGGTAGTGTCTCTTACAGTATGGAGTATGCATCTTATATTCTTGAAAGAATTAATATATTAATTTTAGAGCAAGTTTCATGATTTGTAAAATGGAAAGAGTAATAGCAACTAGTAACAAGTGTGTGAATATTTAATAAGAAAAATTATGCCTTGATCAGTTTTGAACAACTCAACATTTCAGCAGGGAGCTGAAATGAACAATAACATTTCTCACTTGTATTACATGCAAGCTGTAGGTCGGCAATGGCTGATATGGGTCTGACCAGCCCTCCAACATCTCCTCATTCTGAACACAGACTGAAGAATGAAGAACGATCCCCTGTCTGGGGTATTTTGTTCTTATGGCAGAGAACAGGAAAAAAAAAAGAAGACTGAGATGAATCAAGAAATCATAATAAAGATTCTCCATTTTTTCTCTTCAGCAACAGTCAAGGAGGATAATAGAAAAGAAAGAACTTCTTGGAGCATGGAGCCAAAATGCATGGAGAACAATGAACAGAACAGAACAGGGACTCCGTAAAATATCACTGCCTACTTTGTGGTAAGCAGTTCTTCCAGCATTTTCCCAGATTTTCAAATTCTGTGGCATGTGTGACTTTTTTGAGCTTCAATTCTTTCTTCTCTCTGTCAATAATAGGAGCCCAAGGACTTACTGATATCTTAAACTGTCACAGTGTTTTGTTACAGGCTTTTGTTACTTCTGCTAACATAAATTTCTCAAAGAAGTGTTTGTTTGTAGTAATTATTATAGTCAGTACCATATGCAATCATTACCTCCGCTGTTTGTATTTGAACATAGCTCTTTCTTAATTTTTAGGTAATTTCATCTATCAGGTTTTGTGGAATTGTCCCATTCCCCCCACTCTCCCCTGAGCCATTTTGTTCATCTGAAAGACCGCCTTAATCTATGAGGAAAATGGCAGCATAACATGGTCATGTTTAGTATTTACCTTGAGACTGTAGTTCAAAAGCCTTTCTAATTAAATTGTTTACTGACTAAAATTGAAAAATCATTTCATTTCTTAATTTTGCAAATTTTAGAATTGCTAGGATCTATTTCCTTTCTTTCCTACTTTCAAATACATCAATTCTATTCTGACCTCAGTCTTCTCATAGTGCCTTCTCAAATGCAACAAATCACAATCAACTCAAAACGCCAGTATTGTACTGTTTTGAAACTTTTTTGTCCGAGCCACATTTTATAGTATATCAACTGTCTTCTGAACTATCTCAAACAAAATACTACAAAATGTTTTGCCACTCTATAAAAACAGTTTTCCAGTTTCAAAAAAAAAAAAAAAAAAAAGTCTCTCTTCCTCCTGATGCCCAGCAAAATCTTTGTCACATACATTAGACATCTTTGTTAGAGCAGACCACAAGGTTTGAAAGCTATTTTCTAAAGTGGGCATTTTTGTTGCTGTAATAACCCGCATAGCTCAGTAAATTGTCTCAAAAGTTTCTCTTACACTATATGTAAGCTGTGGTCAGGCTGTGGCTGCTGAGACACTGTTGGACTCTACTTGGCTCTGTTGCATGTCTTCCCATTCTAGGACGCAGTGTGAAGGTGCTGTCTGGGACATGCTGTTTTTATGGCAGGGGCAAAAGCAAGAGGCCAAGGTGTATTAAGTGATCTCCTTCAAATATTCTGTTTGGATGTGACATATGTCACATTTGTTTGTATTCCATTATCCAAAAGTCAGGAAAATAGCCTCCACCAGAAAGAGGGACTACAGCTCACAGGACAATGCGTGGAGAGGTAAAGACCTCTTACAATGGAGGGAGTGATTCTGTGCCCAATAATGCAGTTTAAGACAAATGTCACACAGAAATAGGCTCCTAGAGATTACAGTTCATGAATGAGTTACTCTGGGATCATAATAAGCCTTCAAGTAAGACATAAGGAATCAAATAAGCCTTTCCACTTTTCAGTTAACTTTGGAATCCTTAAGGATCATGTATTCAAATAATCAACAAAGAGTCTGGAATAAATTAGATATCTCATTTTCTTCTTCCACTCTCATAACCAACTCCCTCACCCACTCTCTACACCATCTTCATTGTTAAAGAAAATATAGGCATGTTCATGGTTAGAACAAAAAGTTTGGGACCTATGATGAGAAGGTGCTTTTCTAAACAACATGTGCATGAGATGGGCAGAAAATTCGGTATTTAAGCCAATTTGTATATTGGCTCCATGGAGTGTACCATCCCTAAAAAACATTCTTTAATTCCTCACTTATAAAACAAATATCTGCTTACTTAAATAGGAATTGGATTGGTGAAGGTATAAAAAAATAAGTAGGAAACTCAACATTTTTAATAATTTTAAAATTTTACCTCTGATATACTTGTCCCTATAAATTTGAATATTTTCATTTATATAAATTCTCAAGCTAAAAATTTTAAATAAACTGAAGCATAATATATATAAAATATATATTTCACAATAGTCCCATAATAATTATATTTCGTTCCATTCTGTATGTATAGTTATGCCATTTTTATTGTATTTTAAAAGCTTAAAAAATATTTGCCATCATTTGGAGGGAACTTGCTTGGGTTTAGCTGTTATTAGAATAAAGGCAGTTTCTTCTTTTGTAGCAAAGCAAACTACTTTCCACTTGTCCTTGCAAAGCACACTTATATGGAGCGGCATTTATAAAGATTTCAAAAGAAGATTTGATGCCAAGTGCCACAGTAAAGGAAACACCACCAAAACTACAATTTTATATTTCAAGAAGCTAATAGGCCTTTAATAAAACACATTTCCCATTGAGATAAGTAGAGCTAAGTCTTCTTATTCTACAGATGAGGGAAAGCACGTTGAGGAAGGGTATAAAGTAATTTTCCCAATGTCAAAGGAGTCAGAAATAGATCTTGGAATGGAGCCCTAATAGGTTACAGTGAAAAGAGAATTATAGAAATTATAAACCACTCACTCATATCATAGCATTTCTACAGCAGGAAAAACAGCCTCTGTCTCAGGAGTCTATTTCAATGGAGAACACAAAAATAAATAGCTAAGCATCAGAATTAATAAAGAAGTCACAATATCCATATCATTTCAATGCACATACAAAGCATAAAAACTAGAAAATGTGTATTATCACAGACCTTACAAGACTACCCTAAGCTCTTCTATTTTCAACAAGGGTGGCTGCAATCATGTGTTAATTCACCTAGAAATCATTCTCAGTCCAGACAACATGTGTTACATTTACATATAGGGTTAATAATCCATATTATTTATCTACCATTTAATGTAATCATAATATTGGCAATAAAGATAAAAGCAAAACATAGTTACCAGTGAGCTCATTATGGAAGCTTGTAAAAATGATAAATGTTTCTTTCCTATTAAAAGTTAAATTTTATTAATACAAATTTGGTTGTTTTTAAAATTGTGTACAATTCAGTAAATATTATCTGGGTAATAAAGGATATAATGTTTGTATTTTACTGAAATATTTGAACTCCTTTTCTAGAAAAAAATTATGAAATGCCCATTTCCATATCTATTATGTGTGCCTGAGAAACCAATAATCACAGTGCCTTGCCCTTTGGCGAGACCATAAACTAAATACGCAAATCATCTTTGCCTTACCTCAACCTCCAGAGGGCAGGCTTCCTCAATTTCTAAAGAAATGCCAAAAATGTGCTTTTGTGGCTATTTTAATGCTTCATTATTCAAGAAACTACTTTTGCAGATCTCAGGAATATCTCAAAATATAACCTTATTCTTGCCTCGTAGTTACAAATGAATATGACTAATTTCCCGTCAATATCACTTAAGATCTTTGTAAATAAAACCTTTGGATCTCTGTGAAATTTAAATTATATATAATATCAGCATAAAGTTCACTGCGTATGTATGTGTGTGTGTTAGAGAGAACTATAATATAGTAAGAATTATTTTATTTATAGCTAACATGCCAGAACCTACGTATTTATGAAATGCTGTTACTCAAAGTTATCACCTTGGAACACTTTAAGTGCATTCCAATGATGTTACCTCTCAAAACACCATAGCTATCAGCATAAATACTTACCAGTTTGGGGCTTCCTTTATAGTCATACCTTATGTTTAAGAAAAAATAATATGACACAAAAGAATTACACATTTTTTTACTAAACTAACCTCTAATTAATGTAAAGCTGCTTCCGAAAATTGAGGTAATTCTGCAAGTTTCACTCTGTATTACTATCCAAAATCAATGTGCCTTTTTCTAGACCTTCCCTCAGCCAGAGGGGAGCCCACTGACCTAAAGGGTGAGCTCCAGGCCAGGCAGCATTCAACACAAGCTAACTTAAAGGAGCTTGGGTCATAACACTGGCTGGTAATCTGGCAGTACTCTCTGTGGCTTAAGGTGGTGGTGGGTACTGGGTGAGGCTCCTCTGCCTTTGGAAAGGTGAGGGAAGAGTGGGAAGGACTGTGTTGGGGTTTGAGTGTCACCTCAACTGCAATACAACAGAATACCAAATAGACTTATAAGGTTTTTGACTGTTGTCTCTGACTCCCAGACAGTACCTCTGGGCCCATCCAGGGCCTGGGGAACATTGCTGCCCTGAAGGGAAGGACACAGGTATGGCTGGCTTTGCCACCTGTGGATTGTAGAGTTCCAGTTACTTGAGTGAACATTGGCAGTAGCCAGGGAGTGGTTACAGCAAACCTTGGGCAAGACCCAGTGCTGTTCTGGCTTCAGATCTGACCCAATACAGTCATTGGGATGGTGCTTGTATAATCTTTTTGGGTCATATTATTTTTATTAAAAGTAAGGTATGACTATAAAGAAAGTCCCAAACTGGTGAGTATTTGTACTGATAGCTGTGGTGTTTTGAGAGGTAACATCATTGGAATACACTTAAAGTGTTCCACGGTGATAACTATGAGTAACAACATTTCGTAAATATGTAGGTTCGAGCATGTTAGCTATAAATTAGGTGGCTCAGAAAAGACAGAGGGAGAGAGAGAGAGAGAGACGGACTCTGTTTGTTTGGGAGAAAGTACAAGAAGAGTACAAGAGTCTCTGTCTGGTAATCCAGAGAATTCTCTCGGATCTTGTCTAAGACCATCAAGGTGATAGCTCTACAAGTCTGCAAGAAACACAGTGTTACTGGGCTTGGAGTGTCCCCTAAAGCAATATAACTTAGATCACAACACCCAAGTCTTTTCAAATATCTGGAAAGTCTTCCCAAGAAAGATGGCTACAAATAAGCCCACACAGTGAAGACTACAATAAGTGCCTAATTCTTCAAAGCCCAGACAGTGAAGAACATCTAGTAGCATCAACAACATCCAGGAAAACTTAACCTCATCAAATGAACTAAATAAGGCACCCAGTGATCAATCCAGGAGAAACAGAGATATAGGACTTTTCATAGAATTTAAAATAGTTGTGTTGAGGAAACCGAAAAAAATTCAAGATAAAACATACATAGAATTCAATTCTATCAGATAAATTTAACAGAGATTGAAATAATTCAAAAGAATCAAGCAGAAATTCTGGAGCTAAAAAATACAATTGGCAAACTGAAGAATGCCTCGGAGTCTTATGGTAGCAGAATTGATCAAGCAGAAGAAATAATTGGTCAGCTTGAATGCAGGCTATTTCAAAATAGACAGTCAGAGGAGACAAAAGAAAAAAAGAACAAAAAGCAATTAAGAATGCCTACAGGGCTGGGCACAGTGGCTCACACCTGTAATCCCAGCACTTTGGGAGGCCGAGATGGGTGGATCACTTGAGACCAGGTGTTCAAGACCAGCCTGACCAACATGGTGAGATTCTATCTCTACTAAAAATAGAAAAACTAGCCAGGTGTGGTCATGCACTCCTATAATCCCAGCTACTTGGGAGGCTGAAGCACAAGAATCACTTGAACCTGGGAGGTGGAGGTTTCAGTAAGCCAAAATCATGCCACTGCACTCCAGTCTGGGTGACAGAATGAGAATCTGTCTCAAAAAATAAAAATAAATGCCTACAGAATATTAAAAAATAGCCTCAAAAGGGAAAATCTAAGAGTTATTTCCCTTAAAGAAGAGATAGAGAAAGATACAGGACTAGGAGGTTTATTCTAAGGGATAATAATAGAGAACTTCCTGAATCTAGAGAAAGACATCAATATCTAATTAAAAGAAGGTTATGGAACACCAAGCAGATTTAACCCAAAGAAAACTACCTGAAGGCATTTAATAATCAAACTCCCAAAGATCAACTATTTTTAAAAAAGGATTGTAAAAGCAGCAAGAGAAAAGAAACAAATAACCTACAATAGAGATCCAAAATGTTTGGCAACAGACTTTTCAGTGAAAACCTTACAGGCCAGGAGAGGGTGGTATGACACATATAAAGTGCTGAAGAAAAAAGACTTCTACCTTACAATAGTATATCTGGTGAAAATATCTTTCAAACATGAAGAAGAAATAAAGACATTCCCAGACAAACAAAAGCTGAAGGGTTTCATTAATACCAGATGGGATACTTCCAAAGTCATTCTACAAGGCCCGTCCTATAAGAAGTGCTAAAGGGGGTACTTTAATAAGAAAGAAAAGGAAATTAATGAGCAATAAATAATCACTTGAAGGTATAAAAATCACTGGTAATAGTAAATACACAGAAAAAAACTCAGAATATTATAACACTGTAACTGTAGTGTGTAACTACTCATGCCCTAAGTAGAAAGACTAATTGATGAACCAATGCAAAATAATAGCTACAATAACTTGTGAAGACATAAATAGAAACAATAAATAGTTTTAAAGCAGGAAGATGAATTTAAGGCATAGAGTTTTTACTAGAGTCTTTTTGCTTGTTTGTTTAAGCAAATAGTGTTAGGTCATTATCTGGTTGAAATAGTGGGTTATAAAATAGTATTAACAAGCCTCATGGTAATCTCAAACCGAAAAACACACAATGGATACACAGAAAATAAAAAGCCAGAAACTAAGTTATTTCACCAGAGAAACTCATCTTCCCTAGAGAAAGACAGGAAGGAAAGAAACAAGGAAGAGCAGTCCACAAAACAACCAGAAATATAACAAAATGGTAAGATTAACTCCATATTTACCAATAAAAGCATTGAATGTAAATGGACTAAACTCTCCAATCAAAAGACAGAGACTGGCTAAATGGATGAAAAAACAAGAACCATTGATCTGTTGCCTACAAGAAACACACTTCACCTATAAAGACACACCACAGACTAAAAATAAAGGGACAGAAAAAGATATTCCATGCCAATTGAAACCCAAAAAGGAGCAGAAGTTGCTACACTTATATCAAATAAAATAGGTTTCAAGACAAAAACCATAAAAAGAGACAAAGAAGGTCATTATACAATAATAAAAGGGTCAATTGAGCAAGGAGATAAAACAATTTTAAATATATATGCACCCAACACTGGAGCACTTAGCTATATAAAGGACATATCATTAGAGCTAAAGAGAGAGACCCCAAAACAATAATAGCAGAAGACTTCAACATGCCAATTTCAGTGTTGGACAGATCTTCCAGACAGAAAATCAACAAATATGCATTGGACTTAATCTTCACTATAGATTCAGTGGCTCTAAGAGATATTTACAGAGCATTTTATCCAAGAGCTGCAGAATACACATTATTTTCCTCAACAGATGGATTATTCTCAAGGACAGACCATATTTTAGGTAATAAAATATGTCTTAATACATTAAAAAAAAGGAAATAATGTCAAACATCTTCTATGATCACAATGGAATAAAACTAGAAATTAATAACAGGAGGAACTTTGGAAACTATACAAATACATGGAAATTAGACCATATGCTTCTGAGTGACCAGTGGGTCAATGAAGAAATTAAGAAGGAAACTGAAAAATTCCTGAAACAAATGATAATGGAAACACAACATACCAAAGCCTATGGGATACAGCAAAAGCAGCACTCAGAGAGAAGTTTATAGGTATAAGAGCCTACATCAAAAAAGAGAAACAACTTCAAATAAACAATCAACAATATATCTTAAAGAACTAGAAAATCAAAAGCAAACCAAACCCAGAATTAGTGGAAGAAAAGAAACAATAAAGATCACAGTAGAAATAAATGACATGGAAATAAAGAATACAAAGGATTAATGAAACAAAAAGTTGTTTTTTAAAAATGTAAACAAAATTGACAAACCCAAATAACTAAAATCAGAGATGAAAAAAGATGAAAAAGGAGACATTACAACTGATATCACAGAAATTCAAAGTATTGTTACTAGCTACTATGAGCAACTATATGCCAATAAATTGGAAGATCTAGAAGAAATAGACAAATTTCTGGACACATACAGCCTAACAAGATTGAACTATGAAGAAATCCAAAACCTGAACTGACCAGTAACAGGTAACAAGATCAAAGCTTTAATAAATAATTTCCCAGTAAAAAAAAAGCCTGGGACCCAGTGGTTTTATTGCTGAATTCTATCAAATATTTAAAAAACTAATAGCTATCCTACCCAAACTTTTCCAAAAATAAAAGAGGAGGGAATACTTCCAAACTGATACAAGGCCAGTATTACTCTGATACCAAAAACCAGACAAACACACACCAGTAAAATAAAACTACAAGCCAATGTCTGATTAATACTGAAGCAATAATCATCAACAAAATACTAGAAAGCCAAATTCAACAATACATTAAAAGAACATTTATCATGACCAAGTGGTATTTATCCCTGGGATGCGAGGATGGTTCAATGTATGCAAATCAATAAAGGTAATACATCATATCAACAGAATGAAGGATAAAACCATATGATCATTTCAACAGATGCTGAAAAGCAGTTGATAAAATTTATCATCCCTTCATAATAAAAACCCTCAAAAAACTGGGTACAGAAGGAACATATCTCAACATAATAAAAGCCAATTATGACACACTCACAGTAGTATCATACTAAATGGAGAAAAGCTGAAAGTCTTTTCTCTAAAATCTGGAACATGACAACGTTGTCCACTGTCACCACTGTTATTCAATGCAGCACTGGAAGTCCTAGCTACAGAAATCAGAAAAGAGAAAGATAAGATATTTCTTACAGAACATCTGTCCAATGCTGAAAGTGGCTGTTGAAGTCTTTGGCCATTATCGTTTTGAGACCTCTCTCTTTCTTTAGCTGTAATGATATTTGCTTTATATATCTGGTACTCCCATGTTGGGTGCATATATAAAGGGCATCCAAATAGGAAAGAAAGAAGTCAAATTATCCTTGTTTGTAGATGATATAGAGTTATATTTGGAAAAATCTAAAGACTCCACAAGAAAACTATTAGAACTGATAAACAAATTCATTCATACTGCAGAACATCATCCCAAATAAGAAAATCAGTAGAATTTCTATATGTCAACAGTGAACAATCAGAAAGAGAAATTTAAAATGTAATCCCATTTACAATAGCCACCAATAAAATTAAATACCTAGAAATTAACCAAAGAAGAAAAAGATCTCTACAATAAAAACTATAAAACACTGATGAAAGAAACTGAAGAGAAAACAAAAAAAATGGGAAAATATTCCTTGTTCATGGATTGGAAGAATCAATATTGTTAAAATGTTAATGCTACCCAAAGCAATCTATAGATTCAATGAAATCCCTATCAAAATACCAATGACATTCTTCACAGAAATAGAAAAAAAATCCTAAAATGAATATGGAACCACATAAGACACAGAATAGCCAAAATGGTCCTAAGCAAAAAGAACAAAACTGGAAAAACCACATTATCTGACTTCAAATTACATTAGAGCTACAGTAACCAAAATAGCGGGTAGTGGCATAAAAACAGACATATAAACCAATGGAACAGAATAGACAACCCAGAAACAAATTCACACCCCTACAGTAAACTAAGAAGGTGTCAAGAACATACACTTGGGAAAAAGCTGTCTCTTCAATAAATGGCGCTGAGAAAACTGGATATCCACATGCAGAAAAAAAAAATGAAACTAGACCCCTATCTCTCACCATATACAAAAATCTAATTAAAATGGATTAAAGACTTAAATATAAGACCGCAGCCTATGAAGATACTACAAGAAAACCCTGGGGAATATCTCCAGGATAGTGGTCTGAGCAAGAATTTCTTGAGTAATTCCCCACAAGCACAGGCAACGAAAGCAAAAATGGACAAATGGAATCACATCAAGTTAAAAAGCTTCTGCACAGCAAAGGAAACAACAAAGTAGTGAGACAACCCATAGAATGGGAGAAAATATTTGCAAACTGGTCACCTGACAAGGGATTAATAACCAGAATATATAAGGAGCTCAAACAACTCTATAGAAAAAAATCTAATAATCTGATTTTTAAAATGGACAAAAGATTTGAATACGTCTCCATTTCGATTTAAAAGATTTAAAAGATTCCATTTAAAAGATTTAAAAGATTTCCATTTTCTCAAATGGGAAACAAAAATGGAAAACAGGCATATGAAAAAGTGTTCAATATCATTAATCATTAGATAAATGCAGATCAAAGCTACAATGAAATATTGCCTCACCTCTGTTGAAATGGCTTACATCCCAAAGACAGGCAGGAAATAACAAAGCTGGTGAGGATGTGGAGAAAAGACAACCCTTGTACATGGTTGGTGGGAATGTAAATTAGTATAACTTCTATAGAGAGCAGTTTGAAGGTTCCTCAAAAAACTAAAAATTGAGCTACCATATGATCCAGGAATCTCACTACTAGGTATACAACGAAAATAAAGGAAATCAATATATGGAAGAGGCATCTGCACTCCCATGTTTGTTGCAGCATTGTTTACAATAGCTGAGATTTGAAAGCAACCTAGGTGTCTATTAATAGACACTTACGGATTAAGAAAATGTGGTACCTACACAATGGAGTACTACTCAGCCATAAAAAAGAATAAGATCCAGTCATTTGTGACAACATGGATAGAACTGAAGATTATTAAGTCAAATAAGACAAGCACAGAAAGACAAACATGGTATGTTTTTCACTTATGTGTGGGTTCTAGGAATCAAAACAACTGAACTCATGGAGATAGAGGGTAGAAGGATAGTTACCAGACGCTGGGATTGATGGTGAAAAGGTGTTGCGGAGGTGGTGATGGTTAACGGCAACAATAAATAGTTGGAAGGAATAAGACCTACTATTTGATAACACAACAGGGTTACTATAGTCAATAGTAACTTAATTGTATATTTTAAAATAAAGAGTGTAATTGGATTGTTTCTAACTAAAAGGATAAGTGCTTGAGGGGATGGATGCCCAATACTCCATGGTGTGCTTATTTTATATTGCATGCCTATATCAAAACATCTCATGTACCCCATAAATATATATCTACTATGTACCCACAATAATTAAAAATGAAAAATAAATTATAAAACCAAAATCAGTGTGTCTCATGGATTAATAGCAATTCTACAATCGAAATTTTAAACATATTTTGAGAAGATAGCAATATCATTAATACAAAAACTATAGGAAAGTAGAAAAAAAGTTCCAAATAGTCTTTGGTACCCCAGTCACTGTTCAAATTCTGTACCTGTGCTTCAGCTCAGCTGAAGATAGGAAGCTGACCCACTTTCTCTGACTCAAGGAGTTGACTCATTTCTGCTAGAGATGTTAGACCACCTCCCCAGTGCTGTGAAGAAATCCAGTCATTACCTCTCCTACTATATTCTTCATGATAATGATATATAATGATAATTATAACGGCAAGTCATATTAATAATAATTATAATCATACTAATAATGTACCAAGAACCTTCCAAATGAAATATTTTCTTTAATCACCACAGTATTGCAATTTAATTCTTACAACAATACTATAAGGTAAGTATTGTATAAACTCTATTTTACTCATAATATCTTTAAAGATGAGATTATTATTATTAATGTTATTATTAATTTTGTGTAGGTAATCCCTAGAGTATTCCTAGACATTGGGTTTTTAGAGTTCACTGTCAAGAAAATATCATTCATTTATAACTCACCTCTACCTAGAAGCCACTCAGTTTATAGTTCCTTCCAGTAATAGCCATTCTTCAGTTTGGGAAATACTCAACAAAACACTTTTCTTTTTTTTTTATTATTATTATACTTTAAGTTTTAGGGTACATGTGCACAACGTGCAGGTTTCTTACATATGTATACGTGTGCCATGTTGGTGTGCTGCACCCATTAACTCGTCATTTACATTAGGTATATCTCCTGATGCTATCCCTCCCTGCTCCCCCACCCCACGACAGGCCCCAGTGCGTGATGTTCCCATGGAATACTATGCAGCCATAAAAAAGGATGAGTTCATGTCCTTTGTAGGGACATGGATGAAGCTGGAAACCAGCATTCTCAGCAAACTATCACAAGGACAAAAAACCAAACACCGCATGTTCTCACTCATAGGTGGGAATTAAACAATGAGAACACTTGGACACAGGAAGGTGAACAAAACACTTTTCTTATATCAGGATTCTTCATTTTATTTTCTAAAATATTGATATTTTATAATTCTCAGAAATTAGTAGTATATATTATGTTCCTGAGAACATTTGAACACAGAATCTGCCTCTTTAGAAAATATTTTATTATTCAAGGGGAAACTCTTTCTCTTCCTAACTCATATAAAGCCCTAATACAATTGAGTTATATAGATAGCACTTTTTGCATCTGACAGAAAGACAAATTCAAATGTAATATCCAGAAAAAATGCACATATTTATGGAACTCTCTAAAATAGGTAGCAAGGAGTAATTATTATATTAACTTACAGCAAAAGTGTCTATAAAATCTGGATACCCTGTTGATATACTAGGCCAAATTCGCAATCTTCTCAAAAATCTCTTTGATCTCTTGCCCTCAAAATGCTTTAGAAAAATCTTAAATATGCACTGATTCTATTTTCTTCTTTTATTATTTCCTCTTCTGTTGTATGGTCAAATTAATTTTTTCCACAAGTATCTCCCTGTCTGTATCAGTTAGGGTGCTTTCAGCTACAAGTAAATCAATGCGTGTTCAAACCAAAAGTCACATGAATAATGAGGAATTTATCTTCTTACATAAGAAAGGTAAAGGCAAGGTGAGTCCAGGATAGTTATTTGGCAGCTTAACAAAGTGAGGCCTTCAGTTTGTTCATTCTGCAATTTTTTTGTCTGTTTGTTTTGCTTTTATGGTAATAAAATGGTTGAAACAATTCCAAATAATATTCTTACACCAAAATGAAGATAAAGAGAAATAAGGCTACAAAGAATCACACAGTACCATATATACGTAATGAAAAGTATTAATGTCATCATATTGTCATATTGTTTCTATAACCTGCCTTTTTCTTTTGATAATAGATTGTTCTCACTTTAGCCATTATAAAGAATATATTTCTAAAAGATCATTTTTACTAATTGAATGGTACTTAATTTCGCAGATGTCAAAATAACCACTTATACATTTTCCTGTGTGTTCTTTGCCTTTTTTTCTTTGTTTTCTTATTGATACAAAACCTCGAATGTACTGGAGATGTCAACAGTGTTTATATGATATATGTCTTGTAACTATTTTCTCAGTTTATCAGATGACTTTCGATTTTGTTGTTTCCATTTTTTTCACATTGAAAGGACTGTAATTTTCATGTAGTCAAATCCATCAAATTCTCCTTTTAGAACTCATCTTTGTTACTTTCAAAATGTACTGCTTGTAAATAGTGCTGCAATAAACATACTACGTGTGCATGTGTCTATATAGTACAATAGTACAACATATCCTTTGGTTATATACCCAGTAATGGGATTTCTGGGTCAAATGGTATTTCTGGTTCTAGATCCTTGAGGAATCACCACACCATCTTCCACAACAGTTGAACTAATTTACACCCCCATCAACAGTGTAAAACATTCCTATTTCTCCACATGCTCGATGGCATCGGTTGTTTCCTGACTTTTTAATGATCACCATTCTAACTGGCGCGAAACAATAGCAAAGACTTGGAACCAACCCAAATGCCCGTCAATGATATACTGGAAAAAGAAAATGTGGCACATATACACCATGGATTACTATGCAGCCATAAAAAAGGATGAGTTCATGTCCTTTGCAGGGACATGGATGAAGCTGGAAACCATCATCCTCAGCAAACTAACACAGGAACGGAAAACCAAACACCACACGTTGTCACTCATAAGTGGGAGTTGAACAATGAGAACACATGGACACAGGGAGGGGAATATCACACATCAGGGACTGTTGGGGGGTGGGGGACAAGGGGAGGGAGAGCACTAGGACAAATACCTAATACGTGCAGGGCTTAAAACCTAGAAGACGGATTGATAGGTGCAGTAAACCACCATGGCACATGTATACCTATGTAACAAACCTGCACATTCAGCACATGTATTCCAGAACTTAAAGTAAAAAAAAAAAAAAAAAAAAAAAAAAAGGTAAAAATGTGCTGCTTGGTCAGGCATGGAGGCTCACACCTGTAATCCCAGCACTTTGGGAAGGCTGAGGAAGGCAGATCACTGGAGGTCACAAGTTCAAGACCAGCCTGGCCAACACGGTGAAACCCCGTCTTTACTAAAAATTAGCCTGGCGTGGTGGCAGGTGCCTGTAGTCACAGCTATTCAGGAGGCTGAGGCTGGAGAATTGCTTGAACCTGGGAGTCAGAGATGGAAGTGAGCCAAGATTGCACCACTGGACTCCAGCCTGAGCTACAAAGCAAAACTCTGTCTCAAAGAAAAAGTGAAAAAATTAAAAAAAGGCGGACGGGGGGGCAGGGGCCTGGAGCTTTACTCAGTTCAAATCCTAGTCTATCATGTATTAGGTATGCTGAGTTGGGCAATTTAATTAATTCTTTGTGACAATACATTTAAATTACTTTGAACCCAAATACTTGGCTAGTCTAGTACTTTTATTACATATATTAACTTTTTGAAATTTCAAACCATTTGCATTTAATTTCACACACACTACAACTTAGAGAGTTAACTTTAAATTTTCAAATGGTTAGCCAGTTGTCTCAAAGCCATTTAAGTCAAATAATAATTCTTTTTTGCTGATTTGAAATGTGATCTTTATCATGACTATATTTCTTACCTGATTTGTGTGTTCCTAGGCTTTCTATTTTGTCACATTTCCTTGTATTTCCTATAATTTTACCTTTATTTTAATACTGTGCTTCTTGGTCCAAGAAATTATTAGTTGGACTTTAATATTTTAAAAAATTTATTTCCTTCTTTCTTTCATTGAAACAATTTGCCTTGGCAATCAAAATTTTCTAGTATTAATACAATTCATATCTTCTTATTGTTGGCACTTTCCTAGTATGTCTTTAGTTTTTTACCTTCCACACGTCTGAAATATTTTATTTTAGCTACATTTATTATATACAGCCTATAACTTGGGCTTTGGTTTTTAACCCAATCTGTTTATTTTTATTTTTATTTTTTGGAGACAGAATCTCATTCTGTGCACCCCAGTGCAGTGGTGTGATCTTGGCTCACTGCAACCTCCAGCTCCTGGGTTCAAGCGATTCTCCTGCCTCAGCCTCCCAAGTAGCTGGGATTACAGGTGCCCGCCATGAAGCCTGGCTAATTTTTGTATTTTTAGTAGAGACAGGGTTTCGCCATGTTGGACAGGCTGGTCTCCAACTCCTGATCTCAGGTGATCCGCCCACCTTGGCCTCCCAAAGTGCTGGGATTACAGGTGTGAGCCACAGCGCCCGGCCCAATCTGTTTATTTTAATAAATATATGCATATAACCCATTTGCAAATACTGAAATGTTTCCTTCAGGTTCCTTTTTTGCATCCTGTTTTCTGTTTCAAATTCTTTTTTCAATAAATGAAGCTTTTGCTTTGTTTTCTCTGTATTTGTACGTATATGTGCAATATGATAGTTTGTTGTTTGGTTTCAGTTCTACTGGCTGTATCACTAACTTTATATAATATGCCAAAAACCCAATTTCTTTATTCACCAACTTTGGTAATGGCTGTTGATGTGTCTTCTCTATGAATGATGGGATATGAGCACATTCTCTGGGACTTTCCTCCCACTTCTAGCAGTCAACAGCCAGTAGAGCAGGAGGTTGGCCACACTTCTAGCTCTAGCACACAGCCTACCCTTCATCTGAGCTTATCTGTGTAGTGCACAAATAAACATACCAAGAAGGCTGCCAAGGTCCTTTTAGCTCAGTTTCCTAGCTCAGGATGTCATTTGCTGCATCGTGACTTGGTTTCTACCTAAAGGCTCAGTTTTATGCCTAGACAGTATGTTGGTGTAAGACTCCAGCTGGTTTGAATCTACTTATTCATTTGCTGTGCAGTTATACTAGATGTTTGGATTAGGGCTATGTGATCAGAAAGGGCAGAAGAGTTAAAACAATTTTATTTGAGATCAAATAAGGTTTGCTTCATTGTTATCATGTTTTATATCTCTGTCACAGGAAGTGGCTTACTTCAACAAGTGAATACCTAAGACTGCTCTCTAGTTGGTAGGGTGGTTTAAATGAGAAACAAAGGGCTACTTTCAAGAGGAAAGGATTTGGGGACAAAAGGAGACATTTTACTGGGTGAGGACAGCCCTGATAAAAGGCAAGGTCTCACATCAGAGCAAATGTACATTAAAAGTTACTTTTAAGCAGAGAAATGATGGAAACGGGTGTAAGAGGAGCAGGGAAGTCAACAGGGGTGGCAGGGTTCTCTCAAACACTTAAAATAGTTGTTGTCAGATATTGTCAGAAGTCATTATGAACTATGATAATTATTACAGTTTAAAGCATTTTAGAGCTCAACACACTTAGATACAAACGTCCTTTGTCAGAAAAAGGTAGAGGTTGATTTAAAAAAATTATACTTCAAAATACAAGATTAAGATTAGAAGGAGAAAAATATTGACCAGCCATGGTGGCCCATGCCTATAATTGCAGCACTTTGGGGGGCTGAGGCAGGCTCACAAGTTCAAGACCAGCCTGGGGAACATGGTGAAACCCCAGTTCTACAAAAAATACTAAAACAAACAAACAAACAAACAAAAAAACTTAGCTGGTCATGGTGGTGCACACCTGCAGTCTCAGCTACTCTGGAGGCTGAGTGGGGAGCATGGCCTGAGCCCTGAAGGCGGAAGTTGCAGTGAGACAAGATTTCGCCACTGCACTCTAGCCTGGGCAACAGAGCAAGACCCTACCTCCAAAAAAAAAAAAAAAAGAAGTAAAAAAAATTGTACTCTAGATTTTTGCTTCCACTATTTCTCTTATATTATATAAATTATATAAAAATATTTTTAATATATATTTATTCTTTAGGGTATATATTATATGTAATAAAATATATAATTCATAGTTTATATATCAGATATAAAATTATTTACTTATAAAAACATATTTATATAAGTTATACATATATTTACATATTTATATATGAATATATTTTATAAATATATGAGACATATATTTATATATTAATATGTTTGTCTATATATATGTATGAAAGAGAGAAATATATGTATATATTATATATAATGAATAAGAAGGCATTAAAGTAATCATCTCCAAATCCTTTTGATATTATCAGGCAACAGCGGCTGTTACAGCATAAAGCAATATTATCATGATGGATACTCATGCTATCTTAGAATTTTATTAACTAAACTATACACGGTGGCGAGTATACTTTTAAAAATAAAACCAACAAAATATTTCTCTTTTTAATCTTCTACCTGTTTTGAAGTTGCCACATAATCTTATTGCTTTCTCAACACACTCTGCCACCGTGGGTGGGATATAAGAGAGAAAAGCTGTGGGACTTGAAAAAATGACACTTGTCCTCACGATTTATATTAAGCCCTCGAAGAAATGTAACACCTTTAAATACGTTATCGTATCAGATATAAGCTTAAATACAGTTGGTTAGAAGATATTTAAAATGTGATTCATCCACTATTAATCTCTTAACCTCCTCTGCAGGGAGTTGTCACTGACAAAGAACAATCTGGAAGGCTTTCAGAGTCTGACACCTCTGCTGCAAACATTTCAGATTAAAGTCCCTGATGCTTATTCAGAAAAATTCTTGATCCTTCCAGTGGCCAGTTTTGGCATTTGAAAAACAGAGAGAAAGTTGGTGGTAGGCTACTGAAGGGTAACATTTTTAAAGCGGAAAATATACTTACATATATATATGAGCTACAAGCAAAAGAAAACTTTAGGGAATCTAGCTAACTATGTGTGGCTAGATGAAAAATTATCCTGATGAAAATTAAATAATGGCATTAAATTATTCTTGTCTTCTTTTTCTGGTAAGTGTCCATGATTGCGTATTTCTGGAAGACTCTCTTAAGGGTGGGACAAACACTATCACCTCTTCTCACTAAAAATATTTTATAGCTGAGTTTATTAAGTTTAAAAAAAACAGAAAAACAGAACCTTATTTCAAAGTAAACACATAGATTCAATTTAGCCTCTGTCTTCAATTTTGTACTTTCTATGAAAATTATAGTTTTTAAAAAAGATTTAGGTAAAAGTTATAATCTTTCAACTGAAATGAAAGATATTGATAATTGTGTTATTCTTCTTTTGGAGGTACTAAAGGTTATGATTACAAAGGATTCTTAATTGAATACTTCCTCCCTTTACTGACACTTGAGTTCTTTCTGTATTTTTTATATTGCCTTAAACCACAGAATAATTTATTCAATATGGATTTTCTCTGATAACATATTTAGAAAACAAGACTACATATATCATGATGGTGGACAGCTTAGTGTCTGACTTTACCTTATATTTATTGTTTACCAAGTGCCTAGAATGGTTCTTTGCATGTAGAAGGCACCAATAAATATTATTCAACAGTGAAAGGATGAAGGAATGCAGTTGCCCTTACATCTCTTCTAAGGAGCTTGCCTAACTTTTGTGTCACTCACCAAGTAATTACTGGGCATCTACATACGATGTATCAATCCAGGGTTTCAGTGGCAAAGAAGTCATGGTATTTGGGTTCCTGGGGATCCTAGTAGAGGAAATTTTGACAAACAACTTCAATAACTGCTCACACAGATCTAACACTGAGGGCTGTGGGATCAGGCTGAGGGGCATCTCACACAGCCTGGGGACTTTAAAGAACATTTTCCCAAAGAAAAGTGCATCTATATATGCATCTATATACTGAAATATGAAAAGAGATGAAGAATGGAAGTGATTGATAGGGAGTATGGAGATAGAGCATCAAACAGAGGAAAGTGTCCACGAAAAAAAAAAAAAAAAACCTGACGACATGACACAGAGCTTTTAGGGAACTGAGAGTAACTCAATAAGTCAGAAGAGAATGTGAAGGAGAGAGGAGAGACAACGGAGGCAAGCAGGGCCAGAATGCCACCTTTAGAAAGAGATAAAAGGCTTCACTCTGGGCCATATGGCTTGTCACACTACTCTAAGTTTTCAAAATGGGAAATTCATTAGGGGCATATAATTTGGCCTGAGAGTTCAAGGTTATGTCTTCTTGGTCTCCTAAATATTATCATGGTTTAGGGCAGGTGTGTCCAATCTTTTGGCCTCCCTGGGCCACATTGGAAGAAGAAGAATTGTCTTGAGCCACACATAAAATACACTAACAATAGCTGATTAGCTTTTAAAAATCACAAAAAAATTCATAATTTTTTAAGAAAGTTTACGAATTTGCATTGGGTCACATATAAAGCCATCCTGGGCCACATGCAGCCTGTGGTCCACAGATTGGACAATCTTTGTTTAGGGTTTATTGGCTAATGCTGCAGAGTTCTCATGAAGTCTATGTTTCTAGTAGCCAGAAATAGGCTACAGAAATGACATCTTCAATAGGCCCCCAAGTTTTCAGCGCATGCAGAGCACTATGTATGTGTATGTGTGTGTATATACGTATGTACACCCATACAAATATATATACATACATACATACAAATAGATATATATACACACACATACAAATATATCTATTTGATGATGACATATGTTTGTTAACCCTGCCCTGCTTTCAACCTAATGGGTGCTTGCTGCTCTTGCATGAAATTCCTTCACTGTCATTGCCTGCTATAGGTAGATATACTAAAGAGTATAAATATGGGGAACTCAATATTGCCTGGTTTGGAATATAGCCTTCTGGCCTCCTTCTCCTCACTATTGCTCTAATCACAAGGACCCTCACAGCATCTCACAGACCCTCCCTGCCAAATTCCTGATGTCCACAGCAGACACTGCGTGAAATCTCAGTATGAAAGCAAATTTGACTCCCTATTCTCTTCTGAGCTTCTCCTTTCAAAGTGGTTTAACTCAGAACATTTCACAAATTCTTCAAACATAGCAATGTTATTTGCTTACATTATTTTCAAAACTCTGACCAACCCCTTTTGGAGACAGTTTTGCTTACATGTGTGGAAAGAAGTGAGCTTATTTTTATACAGCAGTAGAAGCAAGACCAAGAACTGATAACCATTTTCTTTTTACTCTAGGTAAAAGTAAAGTCTGACATGAGTTCACACACACTGCAAAAAGTGAAGATAAGAAATGACAAGTAGCTCCAGAGGAATTGACTGTAGACTGTTTAAATCTGGACGAAAAAGAAAAAATTTCTACTAAAAAACTTTCATCAAATATGCCATGGCCTCTCAAAGACATCCTTATATTTAAGAAGTTAAAGAATTCATTTTTTTTCTGAGTGCTAACAGTTAACTGCAGTATGCTGAAGCAGTTCATAATAACAGAGAAAACAGGACATTTCAGAAGCAGGTATGATGGTCTTGGATAACTGAAAAGTCTCTGTTCATAAAGCCAATGAGCTTGCTTAGCAAGAGCAAGTTTAATTTTGGTCTAGAGTCAATCAAGAAGTGATTACCAGCTCTGTGTAAAGAGCCTATCTATTACTTGCTACTGATAGCAAAAAGAACAGGATTTAGGCTTAGAATAGAAGGCTGCGAAAAAGCTATTTGGAATTTTCAGAAAGAAGGGAAATGGACTGAGCACACAGGCTTTTCATTTCCTGTGCTTTCCTTTAAAACAACCAGGTTGGATAGGGAGTGTCAGAAAGTTGTCAAACTGGAAATCGAACTGGATAGACAGATGGTCAGGAGATACGAATTTTGGTCCTGGCTTGGATTCCAGTTGCATGATCCCAAAAAAGTCATTTACCTTCCCTGGGCCCTATATTTCTCACTGATCAATTGAATAATTGAACTAGATAGTCACTATACTCTAGTCTGTGAGCTTCAGGAAAATGAGAATTATGTGTTTCTTGTTAGCCTCAATAGCTAGCAGAGGGCATGGCACACAGAAACCATCCAATAGGTATTCCTTTATGTAAATAGAAAAACTATTGGTTAAATTTCTCTTAATAAAATAATGTCATATTCATAGATATACGTAGAGACTAAAATAATTCATAAAAGATACCAATGATATACACTGAATGACAAGAATATCTAGTTAGATAACTGAAGGAGCCACACATAACTCAAACTATCAAGCTTAATTAAAATAGCACTTTGACATATAATCCAACTAATAAGTATGTCCAATATTTTCCAGCAGGTTTATCTAGATAGCAATTTAAATAGGATATTGCTCAGGAAGCAAGTTTTGTTTTAGTTGAAACCTTAATGATAAAAATGGTCAAAAGCCAAATAACTGAGGGAGGAGACCAAATTATCAGTTGCAGTGAAATCTAATTACATTTTTTAAAGGCTTCATCTAGACAACAGAAAGAGCTACAGAGACAGAGAGACAGAGATTGGCAACAGCTCTATTTACATAAAATTTCCACATGCCTGTGATTACCATGCCATTTATTTTCCATGAAGTTTCAGGTTACATTCACACCCCTTTCAAAGAGATGGGATACTGTATGGTTGAAATCACTTACGACCCTTGGTATCAACCAAAATGTTGTGGCCAGAGGGTGATAGCCCCAGAAGTTGTCAGAATATTACTTGGCAGGAGGAGACTATGGTGGAAGAAAAGGAAAAATCTTTGGAAATGCCACAGCTTCATTTAAGAGCTTTTCCTGGTTAACAATATCTTGACTAGCCATCTTTACATTGTAAGTAATGCATTGATGGTGAATCAACCATTCAGCAGTCAACCATTTGACTAATGAAACGGAATACTGAAAACAAACACGGAAGGTATTTGTGGGAAAGGAGAAGCTCTCCTAACAAAGACACAGCAGATAATGACATACACACAGAAAACATAAGAACTTCTTTTGAATTTTCCTATAGCCAGAGTTTTCAATATAAGCCTAGAAGTTAAAACAAGACTCTTTGAGCCACATGGCAACTTTCTTGACAGCTAAGCCTTGGGCTCTTTTCATGGGGTTTTACCATTTCTACATCATCAAGAAAATCTAATGTTGAACTTGCATTGTCCAAAATATTGATACCCTAAAGGAGAATTTTGTTTGTAAAGCCTCAATAAAATATAACAAAAGACACATTCCTCTCTGTGCTAATAGGAAAAGTTGAGGATTAATTATTTTCACAGCAAAGTCTATAGTACCTTTAAACAGCAAACACTGAAAATGAATGAAACTTTGAAAATTATTACTCTGTAGATAATACTATGGTCCCATCTACTCCAACATGAAAAGAATAGAGCTATTATCACCTTGAGTCAAATTACTGTTTGTTTCCAAACCAAATGATATAGACAAGTATATGGTAACATCTGGGTATCTGTTCCAGAATGAATCTAATTCAATTAGAATTAGTACTGATATAGTCTGCTTGCATATGGAAGTTCTGATTTATAAATTCCTTTGGGGCTTAGTTCTTTTCCTGTTGTTTCTCTGACATGAGTCGCTGCTATTCCCAAGGTTACATGATGTTCCCAAATGGCTTCTTTTGCTCCAGTCATTATGTCCATATGGAAAGAAAAGAGAAAGTACTTCCTTCCTTAAAACATACTTCCCAGAAGATGCACAAGTACTTCTCATGTTCCATTGGCTGAAACTTAGTAATGAGATGATACCTGACAGCAAGAGAAGCTGGAAAATATCTTTATTGTAAGCAGCTATATATCCTTGTAAATATATGGAATACGGTGGAATAGTAGAGGACTACAACACAACACTATTTTTCAGATGAATAGTCAATATATACTGTTGTTAAAAGTACAGAAGAAATATTAACCTCACAGCAATTGCAATCAAGTTGTGTTGAATTGAGACCCATCTTGTATCTTCTTCCAAATCACTATCATTTCTACTTTGGTTTGCTGAACAGTTAGGAAAACTTGCTGATCTTTACAGCTTACTTTTTTCCTTTCCCATTTCTCTGCCATTGCCCCTGGAGTCTATCTTCACATGGTGCCAGAGCAATGTATTAAAACCTAAGCAGATCATTCACTCCTATGATGGACCAATACCTCCTTCTTTTGCTCAGAGAATCATTCCCTACTATGATCTCCAAAGCCTTATGAAATCTGGTTGTCCTCATTTTCTAACTCTCTCCCTTTGCTCACTTCAGGTCAGCCAGAGATATTTTTATTTGCTATTCCTTTTTTACACTAAGAACTCTCTTAATCCAAGGATTCTGTACTTGTTGTTTCTTCTTCCTTAAAACGTCTTGCCCGTATGTCCACATGGCTAATTCCCTCACTTTTTCATGTCTCTCTCAAATCACCCCTTCCCAGTAGGGTATTATATGGTCTCCTAGTTAAAATTAACCACCTGCCCCCCTACCCACCAAACTAAATCTTGATTTCTGGCTTTATTTTTCTCTAGAGCCCTTTTCACCAACTACCACTATTGACATGACCTGTTTGCTTTAATTTCTGTCTTTCACAGACACCGTGAAAGCAGGGATTTGGAGAATTTTTGCTCACTACAAACTTAGTGCCTAAAATAGTACTTAGAAGATAGTAGATGGATAATAAGTATTTATTAAATAAATTAAAAACATGTTATATCTAAGACTGGAAACATAAAGCATGATCCATGTGAACTCTTCTTATCTGCTATTTTGTTTGCTAAGCCAGATACACAATAGAGGCTTGTTGATCTTTAAATCCCCATTTGCTCTTTGCCTTTCCCTATTTTTGCTCTATTTATGCGGTATCACAGATAAGTTGGATGAGAATCCACATTGGATTAAATATTTGCTCTTTTGAGAATTTGCCAATTTAAGCATTTTAATTGGCCTATTACACATGGCTGAATGAGTCAAGCGATTCACCATGGCTAAATCCCATTTGACTACATAGGGATAACGCACTATTTTAGCACTCTTTCTTGCCTAGATGTTTAAGATTTCTTGGTGTATATATTATCTTTGAATTTAAATTCTGCCTGCCATTTGGTAGTGTCTTTTTTAGCATTTTCCTTAGAGTAAGGAACATCTTTTTTGTGTGTCCATGTGAGACTAAAAAGTCATAGAAGGCCTAGATATACATAACATTTGTTGCTGTGTATCAAAATCATTTTCTGGTATTACAGTACATGTGCGGTCCTATTGTACAATATGCTTTCATTTCATTTATAACCACACTGAACAGGAGTGACCATGTGGAAATGAAAAGAGTTTGCCCTTGTTCTGCTTGAGAAATTGCATCTGACATGAAACGAAAGGAAATATGTGAGAATGTTGAAAAAAAAGAAAAATGGTGAAATTTGTAAGAGGGAAAAATGACATTCTTTGTTTCTCTCCTCAAGGAAAAATATTATCATATTCCTTACCAATTAGAAGTATTGGCATCATTTACAAGTTCTTTCTTATTATAGTTTGCTTCATATAGTTTACGTTCATTATGTTGTAAAGTCTCAAATCACTGAAGACAATATTTTGCCATCATTACTAGTACAAGCTCTGTTTCAGGAATATGTAACATCAAATTATGAAAGGAAAACTCATCAATGATTAAGGAGCTTAAAATAGAAAATAAATTCAGAAAGTAAGTTTCTAACCAATACTGTGCTATAAATTGACAGGGCAAAAAAAAAAAGCCTACTAAATAATGAAATTAAAAGAATGTATGTATGTTTGAATATACTGTGGTAAACATTTATTTTTCTCTTTAACCACCACCATCTTTGGTTAGTAATGTCTTGAATTTCTTTCCTGGAACCACTATTCCTCCAGTCATAATATACATATGAAATTAGATTTAACTCTTTCCCTGATTCTCATGTGTGTTTATGAGTTAGGATGTGCCTCTCTGTATATTTTGTCCTTCTGGCCACAATGATTGAATTAGGGAGGATTATTTCACATCATTCAAACCATTAAGCGTTAGATACAGCTATATTTAGAAGTCTCTCAGCCTATCTCAGCCAGGGATCCTCATCTGAATTACAGCACAGAAAATGATTTCAGCAACTGCTTTCCCAAAGATAGTACCCAAATTGTACCACCCAAAATACTGAGAAAGTTAATTCTTTACATAGCTGCATCTATTAATGTCTTAAGGCATCAGGATTTAAAGCTCTGAAATGAATCTCAGTTGTGAAAGACTGGAAGAGAAATTATTGAAAATATGGCGTTGGGAGGATGTAAAGCTTGATCAATTAGGATCTCATAGAAACGAAGCACAAATGCACTAGTGCAGACCCAGGAGTTGGAAAATGAACTCTTGCATAAGTATGTAGATCATGCCCTCTCTCAGTCTGGCACTATACCTGTCATATTGAGTTATATAAGCCAAACACTTCCTTTTAAGCCTACATCCATTCCAGTTGGATTTTCTGATGTTTGCAACAAAAGTGCTAATTGATATATTTAGATATTTACAAAAAGCAAAATGAATAATTTTTCAGCTAACTTAGGTGCAAAAGGTAGAGTTGGGTTTTGAAAAAAAAATAAAATTGCATGTTATATTTGAAAAATAAAATACCATTTTTGGATAGCATGAAATAAGAAATGTTTTACTCAACAGTTAATCCAAGATAGACAAAAATAAATGGGAGAAATGACAAACAGAGGCTGCATGTACACGGCATGAACTAAGCAAATGGATGACACACCTCAGCTCTGCCCCCTGGCCTCTATGGTTCTGGTCTTCCAGAGTTAGCTGAAAGGTAAATATATTTTTTAGTAACTAGGGCAGAGTTTCTCTAATCCTCTCTGCCTCGGGAGATTTGGATGGCAGTAGAGTGAAGATGAGGAAAGATGAATGTTTGCATGAAGTCAGTTCTGCTGCCTTATTAAGGCTGGTGGAGTCATACCCATCAGCCATCTTGATAATGTGGAAGTTCTTGACACAGCTTTGGTGGTTTAGTGTCAGCTCTGAGAAGAGGGGGAAAATATCCTACTCAAGAATTTATTTACATGTGATTTATGGAATGATAACAAGGAGATGCATAAATTATGTTTTTTCAGATACACCAGTCTAGGAACTAAAAACAACAGAATCACAATAATGTAAATACTATATATTATGATAATATGTCCAGCTACTCCAAACCCTTCCCTGATTATATCCAGGTGTCTCTTGGGGAGTTGTGTCTTGCTCTTTATCGTCTCAAAATGTAGTAATGAATGTGGTGAAACAGCTATAAGGCCTGAGAGACTACTAGTTATAAGGTCTGACCTTGGGTTCAAATCCCAGCCTTACCATCTACTAAATATACCCTCTTGGGCCAAGCAGTACAATGGACAAAATTTGCACTTACCCCATACAAAGTGATTGTTCTCCCTCATAAGTGGCTGCTAAAAACATGGATCTCAGGAAGATACACAGCAGAATGGTGCTTACCAAAGACCAAGAAAGGAAACAGGGAGGGAAGGATGAAGAGAGATTGATTAATGGGTACAATTATACAGTTAGATAGAAGAAATAAGACCTGTTTTCATTAGATCAGTAGGGTAACTATAGCTAACATTAACCTAGTATACATTTTGAGATAGCTAGAAGAGAAAAATTCAAATGTTGCTACCATAAAGAGATAAATAATTAATTTAAGATAATGGATATCCCAATTAGCCTGGAAAAAAATTTTGAAGCTTTACACTCTGCCAGATGCACAGCATGCAGTCAATTACTATTTGCTAGAATATTATTATAGTTGCTATTGATTCAAGCCTCACTGCTTTTGCTGCCTTTAAGTTTTAAGAACGAATACCATGGAAGATTGAGTTTCCTACAGGCTACTGACAGTACTATTCAAAAAGACATGTTTAGAAGGGAAATGGGTATGGAAAAACAAAAAGGAAGACACAAAACTGAGCCATTGGATAGAGAATAGTGACTTTATAAATCTGGCTATGAAAGTTTCCTGCCTTCAACTGAAAGAATTTTTCAGATATCACAATGTGCCACTCACAGAGGGTAAATCATTGAATAAAACCCTCTTTCTGCCCTTGGAGTCCTCACAGCCTATTTAAAAACAAAGAAATTTAAACAGCTATTACTAATATTCTCATAATGACATAACTCAGGAATAAAGTATTATTGTATAGTTTGTCTTTTTTCTTAAAAACTTATAAAAATTGATTTTACTCTGATTCAGTCAGTAGTACTGTGTACTTACAATGTGCCAGGCACTGTTGCAGGAGCTGTAGATATTGTTAGCAGTGGATGAGGCAGACAAAATCTTTGCCTTCATGAAACTGCCTTTAGTGGAAATGCAGCTATCATATAAATAAAAATAGAACATTTAGCATCATGTAGTGAAAAGTGCAATGAGAAAAAATAAAGCAGGAGAAGAGTAAGACAGGAGTTTGCTTTAGATAGGATGATAATTGAAGAAGAGACCCACCTGAATGAAGGGAGAGACAGAGCCATGCAAAGATCTGGGTAAAAGCTTTTTGAAGAAGGGGAAATGTAAGTACAAAGGCCCTGAGGCAGGAAAGAACTTGCTGCCTTCAGGGAAAACAAGGATGTCAGAGTAGCTGCAGTAGCAGATCCAGAAGGAGAATAGTAGGAGATGGGACTGGAGAAATTAGGCAGATATCTGGTCATACTAAAATTTACAGAAGGAAAGTTTGAATTTTATGCAAAGTGCAATAGGAAGCCATTAGAGGGCTTTGAGCACAAGAGTGGTATGATCTGTTTTGGGTTTACATACACACACATGCACGGGTACTGGTATTTAACAGTTTTATACTTCATATTTATAAACTCTATATTTAACATTTTAAGAACTGTGGAGCTGTTTTTCTAAAGTAGGTGTACCACTTTACATTTATACCAGTAGTATATGAGGGTTCTAATTTTTCCACAGCCTTGCCAATGCTTGCTATCATCTTTTTTTATTATAGCCACCTTAGTGGATATAAAGTTATATCTCATTATTTAATTTGAATTTCCCTAATGAATAATGTGTTAAGCATCTTTCCATGTGCCTATTGGCCATTACTTTTTTAGAGTTGCTCATTTTGAAATTGGGTTGTCTTTTTATTACTGAGCTATAAGAACATATATCCTGGATACAAGGTGCTTATCATATATATGATTTGCAAACATTTTCTCCCATTCTGTCTTTTTACTTTCTTGATAGTATCATTTGCAGCATAATTTTTCTTAATTATGATAAAGTCTAATTTATTTATTTTTTTGCTGTTTGTGCTTTTGGTATCATATCTAAGAAAACATTCTCTAACTCAAGCTCATGAAGATTTACTCCTCTGTTTCCTTCTAAGAATTTTCCAGCTTTAGCCCTTCATTTAGTTCTAGAATTCATTTTGAGTGAATTTTTTTAAAGATGTAAGGCAAGTGTCTAACTTTATTTTTTTTGCATGTGGGTATCCAGTTGTCCAGTACCATTTGTTGAAAAGATCATGCTTTCAACCATTTAATGTCATGACACACTTGTCAGATGATTTATACTTTTAAAAGATATTGTGGGACAGGATCAGCTTCATGCTTGTGTGATCTGTGCAGTTGCTCTGAGCCCTACGCTTAGAAGTGCCCTGTACTAGGCTTAATGCTCTGCTGTGACCGTACTGAAATACAAAATAATTTATTAATAAAAAGCCCACATTTTCATTTTGCACTGTGCCTGAAAATTATGTAGGCAGTCTGTTATCGGGAAAAGCAAAGGAGGCCAGAGTAGAAGCCTAGAAACCTTTTGTAAAAAAACTGTTGTAGAATAGAAATGAGAAAAGAATTCTTTGAATTTTTCTAAAATTTAGATTTTTGTCCTGTGCATAGCAATATTTTTCTCATTTTTCTGTTTGTCATTGGATTTTGTTTATGGGTGTTTTCCATATAACAGATATTTAAAATTTGTACCCCAATTTGTTTTTTAGTCTTCCTACATAATTTGTTCAAAAGCATATTTTAATTACTGCTTTGAAATAATTAGATTTCAATATATCCTAAAATTCTGAAATAGAATGTTATTATTTTCCCACTGATGAGTCTTTATTTGCATGCATATGTACACACATATATACATATGTGTATATATGTTAATCATTTTAATTACTGATTTTATTCTCAGTTTTTTTCCTTTTAGAGTTTTCCAGCATTATGTGCATATTTTTCTACATGAACTTTAAACTAATCCTGTCATGTTAAAAACATGTTATTTTAATTAAACAGAGAGATTAAATTGAGGTTAAAGATTAATTTAGAAACTATTGCCATGTTTATAATAATTTTCCTATCTAAGGAAAATATCTTTCCACTTAAATCTTTCCATTTAAAGACTTTTTTGGTGATCTTCGGCATGGTCTCCAAAATTTTCTAATTTCGATGTTGCAAATGTCATGCTAGGCTTATTACTAAGAGTAATAGATTGTGTTTTCAAAGGAAGCTGCAGAAAACATCTCTATATAACAGGTTATTCTGTGAGGTGTCTTTATTAAGTTGTCTGCATTAAGAAGTGGAGTTTTTGTCTCCACTTCCTGATGCTGGCTAGGCTCTCTGACTGATTTCATCAAAAGAATGTAACAAAATGAAACTGTGTTGGTTATGGGCATAGACACCTTATTTGGCTTAGCAGCTTCTACCTCTGTGATTTGGAACACTCCCTCTCAGAACTCAATCACCATACTGTGAGAAGCCTATGAAATCTGAGATGGAAGCTCTCTGGCTGTTAGCCACAGCTAGGCTTCCAGCCAATGGTCAGCTTCAACTGCCAGCCTTGTGAGTAAGCCATCTTAAATGATCAGCCCAGCTGAGCCTTCAGATGGTCATATACCCACCCAAGAACTAATCTTACCTGGGTGAAGAAATGCATGCAAGAACCACTCAGCTGAGCCACTCAGAATCACAAAATATAATAAGAAATGTGTTGTTTTAAGCCATTAAATATTTATACCACTTATTTTAGTTGCATGTCTAAATATATTGTTTGGTACACTCAGAACAAGATTAAACTACAGAGGCAATATTGGGCACATGTTTTATGGCTGACTTAAATGAAAATGATTCTAGTGGTTCATCTGATTTTAAACAAAATCATGGTAGGACAATTTTCATCTGTTCATATTTTACTTAGAGTTTTTCAATGGACTTTTTAAAAATAAGGGATAGATATTAAAGTTTAACAAATTTTTAAAGCATCTAGCTCATTTTGTAATAATTTTATTTCTGATGAATCTTTTTATATCGTATAGTTGGGTTTTATTATAAAAATCACTGTAGGAAAATTTCCATTCATTCTTATTTTAATTAGAATTTAATGGCTTTATGAAATAAGGAATCAATATAAAGATTTAACAAATTTTTAAAGATCTTCCTTATATTGAAATAATTTTATATCTGAGTTTTTTATATAACATAAAATTTTGTTTTATTATACAAACTGAGTGCCTTTTTATTTTAATAGATATCTTCTTTACATTTATTGTTATAAACAAACATTTAAATTTGGTCATTTCATTTTTTTAATTTTTAATCTTCATTTTTTTCCTATTATTTGGCACGTGGTCTCTATTATCTACTTTGAGTGTGATTTTTTTTCCCCATCAAATTACATTGAAGTTTTATTTTCTTCTTTTGATTTTGTAATGGATACTATTAACACTTCAAATCATATAAGTAAACCTTTATTTATTACCAACTCTAAAATATTTAAATACTACAAAAAAAGTACATTTTCTCCTATTTTTTCACTCCCTCCATGCCACAATATATTAACATTTTATATTTTGTCTAGAATTATGTCAGTTGTATTTCTTATGGATCCAAGATTTATTTTTGTAATTACTTAGATTTAGATTGAATTTTAGTATTCTTTCACATAGCTTCATCATTCCTGAGACTGTAATTTTGATCTGCTTATTGGTTGGCTGAAATTTGTAGTCAAATAGTTTTATTTTCCAAGGACTCATAAGTGCTATATACTTGAGATTTTTAATGCTTGAGAATGTATTTGTTTTAGCTAGATGACGGCAGAAGCGATTAGCAAAATGGATAATGAAAGATTACATTTTATGTTGCTTTTAACTTGTAAAACTATTGTGTTTACAATTTGTACTTAGAAAAACAGTCAGGGGACCCGCTTGAGTAAAAGCAGATAATGAGATAAGTTTTGAACAAATATATTTACCTTCATCATATACTTGATATGTTCAAAAGGAAATATAGGTCTGCAGTTAGGAAGAAATATCACAACTGAAAGGTAAAGGTATTAGAGTTTCAGCATATAGGTGCAAGTTGAATTTATTAGAAGAGATAAGATTACAAAAAAAATGAGGATAATTGAAAGATTTCTGTGCAATATGATCACTTAAAGGCAAGTGAAAGGGAGATCATGATTAGAAAACATAATCAGAACTAGGAAGAAACTCAGAAGATAGTATCGTGGAAGACAAGTCGAGAAAAAATGTTTCCAAAAGCCAAGTACAGTCACCCAAGGCAAATGTTATATAAATGATAATTAAGCCCTAGAATTTTTAATCAAAATGTAAACCTTCTTTGGTTATTTTTAGTCATTGGTAACCTTTATTAGAACAGTTTTAGAAGAGTGCTGTGAGCAAAATTGTGGCTTATAATGGGAATTAATATCCAGCAGCTGTGTATATAAGAGAGCATGAGGAAAGTAAAATACATAAACATTCAGGGGAAATGTTTTTCACATTCATTTGACTTTTAGATTTCAGAAAATTACCAAAGAAAAGGTAAACAAAAAGTTAGGTTTGACTTTATAAAATTAATAATAATTACCCTAATTAATGTAAATTGCCTGTCATTACTGGATAATTACCAAGTATAGAATATCTATGATGCATATTGTCAATGTGGGTCAGATTATTTTACGGCAAGTTATTGAGTTAAAAAGAAGCCCTTTTCATGGAGCTTCAGTCTTCATTGACTTCTGGAACATTACTCTCTGTACAAGATTTCAAAGAAGCAGAAAGGCCACTAGCTCCTAAGAGAGTTCTTATACCACCAGAAAATGGGTCAGTGGTTTATCAAGTCCAGTGATATTTTATGTTACATTTTAATGTAAACATTTGGTGTGGAACATTGAACATTAAAGCACTGAAGCATAATTTTTTAAGGAATTTGTGCTGTAAGAAAAAGAGATGTGATTCCTCTAGTCTCTTTCCCACCACCCTGATACCATCTTTCCTAAACCCCTACACCTCATTCCACCATGTAGAGATTGTTTACAAAGATGGCAAATGAACAAGTTTGTTGAGATAGGAAGTACTTGGCAAAGAATCTCAACAAAAGCAACAGGATTATTAAGATTGTTGCCCTTTGTCTTTCACTACCAGAGTGGGTAGGGAAGGACCATCAGGTTGGGGCAGGGCTAGGTGTGTCTGAGCTCACACGCTACTTGAATGGGTCTTGCTGTGGCTGCTGTGGGGGATGGGGGTGAGATTCCCAGCTCACTGGAGTTGTGTACCTAGGAGGATTATGGCTGCTTCTGCTGAGTCATGCAGGTTGTCAGGGAAGTGGAGAAAGCCAGCAGTCACAGGCCTCACTCTGCTCTCACGCAAACCGCAAACCGAAGGGCTGGTCTCACTCTCACTGGGTACCCCCAACAGCCCCAAGTCTGTTTACAGATGGTGAGCGAGATGGGCTTGAGAACTTGCCTCAGGCTACCCACCTCCCAGCTGCAAAAGAAAAGGGCTGTGAAGTCTGCACACTGGGATTTGCCCCCTCCCCCGAGTTCTGGCCATGAGGTTTCTCACCCTGTTCTCACCCAGTTCAAATTGTTACAAAGTTCACCTAGAGATTTCCTTCTTCCTGTGGCGCTTTATCCCCTGCTCCTCTGGCTTCCCTCCTGACGGATCTTTGTGATGCCAGGCAGGAATGAACTGTTTGGGGACCCAGCGAGTTCCCAGGGCCTTTCTGCTGCTTCTTCTACCCCTGTATTTCACCCGGCTCTCTAAATTGACTCATCTCAAGGTAAGGTCAGAAGCTTCTCTCGCAAACAGGCTTTAAGTTTCTCCACTGGGGGTGTGTGTTCCGGAGAGGAGGGTCTCCCTTTCCCACTTCTGCAGTTGGGGCACTCGCAGTATTTGGGGTCTCTCCCAGGTCCTTCAGGAAAAGTCCATTTCCTTCAGAGGGTCTGTGGGTCCTTATCCATTGTCTATAATTCCACTCTTTACATCAATGTGTGTACATTTTTTAGCACCCATTTATGAGTGAGAACATAGGATATTTGTCTTTCTGTGTCTGGCTTGTTTCACTTAAAATAATGACCTCCAGTTCTACTCATGGTGCTGCAAAAGACATAATTTCATTCTTTTATGGCTGAATAGTAATCCATAGTGGGTATATGCCACATTTTCTTTATCAAATCATACAATGATAGACACTTAGGTTGATTTCATTGATTTCATATCTTTCCTACTGTGAATAGTGCTGTGATAGACATTCCACTGCAAGTATCATTTTGATATACTGATTTATTTTCTTTTGAGTAGAAGACAAGTAGTGAAATTGCTGGATTGAGTTACAGTTACATTTTTTTGTTCTTTGAGAAATCTCTATACTGTCTTCCAGAGAGATTGTACTAATTCACATTCCTACCAACAATATATGAGAGTTCCCTTTTCACTGCATCCTCACCAACATCTGTTGTTTCTTGACTTTAATGCTAGCCATTCTGACTGTTGTAAGACGATATCTCATTGTAGTTTTAATTTGCTTTACTCTAGTAATTAGTAATCTTGAGCATTTTATATATATATATATATAATCTGTTAACCATTTGTCAGTTTGCTTTTGAAAAAATTCTGTTCATGTCCTTTGCCCACTTTCTAAGGCTATTATTTTTTGTTGTTATTGAGTTGTTTGAGTTTCTTGTAAATTCTGGATATTCGTCCCTCATCTTGGGAACAGTTTGCAAATATTTTATCTCATTCTGCAGGTTATCTATTTACCCTGTTGATTATTTCTTTTGCTTTGCAGAAGTTTTTTAGTTTATTTAAGTCCCATTTGTCTGTTTTTATTTTTATTGCCTGTGCTTTTGAAATCTTCATCATAAATTTTTTGCCTAATGTCCAGAAGAGTTTTCCCTGTGTTTACTTCCAGTGTTTTTACAGTTTGGGGTCTTACATTTAAGTCTCTAATCCATATTGTGTTGATTTTTGTATATGGTGAGAGATATAGATATAGCTTTATTCTTCCCCCATGACAATTTATTTTGTTCTGTTGATATATGTGTTTATTTTATAATAGTACCATGCTGTTTTGGTTACTGTAGCTTTGTAATCTAACTTGAAGTCAGGTAATGCAATGCCTCCAACTTTTTCTTGCTTAGAATTCTTTTGGCTATTTGGAGTCCTTTTTGGTTCCATATAAATGTTACAATTCTATTTTTCTAATTCTGAGGGAAATTATGGTATTTTGATAGGGACTGAATTGAAGCTATAGATTACTTTGGATGTTATGGTCATTTTAATGATATTAACTCTTCTGACTCATGAGTTTGGGATGTTTTTCGATTTGTGTCACCTACTATTTCTTTCATCAATGTTTTGTAATTGTCCTCTTAGAGGTTTTTTATCTCCTTGGTTAAATATATTCCTAGGTAATTTTTTTGTAGCTGTTGTAAATGTGATTGATTTCTTGATCTTGTCAGCTAGGTTACTGGTATATAGAAACATGACTGATTTCTATATGTCAATTTTTATCCTGCAACTTTATTGAATTCAGTGATCAAATCTAAGAGTTTTCGTGGTGGAATTATAAGGTTATTCTAGACATAAGATTGTACCATCAGCAAACAAGAATAATCTGACCTTCTCTTTTCCAATTTGGATGACTTTTTTTCTTTTCCTTACCTGATTTCTCTGGCTAAGACTTCTAGTACAATGTTGAATAGGAGTGGTGAAAATTAGCATCCTTATCTCATTCCAGTTTCTAAAGGGAATGTTTTCAACATTTCTCCATTCAGTGTTATATTGGCTGTGGGTTTGTCATATATGGCAATTATTACTTTGAGACACAATCCTTCTATATCTGGTTTGCTGAGGGTTTATCACAAAGAGATGTTGAATTTTATCAAATACTTTTTTGCTTCTATTGAGATGATTACATGGGTTTGTCCTTCATTCTGTTGATGTATGTACCAAATTTATTGATTTGCATATGTTTAACCACCCTTGCATTGCTGTATAAAACTTACTTTATTGTGTTTTTTAAAATGTTTTGTTGAATTTGGTTTTCAGTATTTTGTTGAGAATGTTTGCATATAGGTTCATCAGTATATTGGTCTGTAGTTTTTGTTGTTGTTTTTCTGTCCTTGTCTGGTTTTGGTATCAGTGTAATACTGGCCTCATTGAATTAGAGAGAATTCTCTCTTCCTTGATTTCTTGGAGCAGTCTCAAGAGGATTTGTATTAGTTCTCCTTTGTATATTTGGTAGAATTTGGCTGTAAATCCATCTGGTCATGAACTTTACTTTGTTGGGAGATTTATTACTAATTCAATCTCACTATTTGCTATCAGTCTCTTATAATTTTCTATTTACTTTTGATTCAATCTTGAGAGGTTGTATGTTCCCAGAAATTTATCCATTTCCTCTAAGTTTTCTAGTTTATAAGTGTATATATGTTCATAATAGTCTCTGATAATGTTTTCTATAACCAAAATAACAATTGTAATGCCTCCTTTTTATTTCTCATTGTAATTATTTGGGTCTTTTCTTGGTTACTCTAGCTAACCATTTATCAATTTCATTTATCTTTTAAAAAACTACCTTTATTTTATTTGGCTTTTTGTATTTTTTGGTCTCTAGTTGTGCTCTGATCTTATTATTTTCTTCTACTAATTTTGGATTTGATTTGCTCTTGCTTTTCTAGTTCTTTTGGGTACATTATGTTGTTGACTTTTAATTTTTCTGCTTTTTGATGAAGGCCTTTGATATGGTTTGGCTGTATTCCCACACAAATCTCATCTTGCTCATCTTGAATTCTCATGTATTGTGTGGGAGGATCTGGTGGGAGGTAAATGAATCATGGGGGCAAATCTTTCCCGTGCTGTTCTCGTGATAGTGAATAAGTCTCACAAAATGTGATGCTTTTATAAAGCAGAGTTCCCCTGCTTAAGTTGTCTCTGTTTGCTTGTGGCCATTCATGTAAAATATGACTTGCTCCTCCTTGCCTTCTTCCATGATTGTGAGGCGTCTCTCAGCCATGTGGAATTGTAAGTCCATTAAAACTCTTTCTTTTGTAAATTGCCCAGACTTGGATATGTCTTTATCAGCAGCATGAGAACAGACTAATAAAGTAAATTGGTACCAGTAGAGTGGGGCACTGCTGAAAAGATACCCAAAAATGTGGAAGCAACATTGGAACTGGGTAAAGGGCAGAGGTTGGAACAGTTTGGAGGGCTCAGAAGAAGACAGAAAATGTGGGAAAGTTTGGAACTCCCTAAAGACTTGTTACATGGCTTTGACCAGAATGCTGCTGATAATGACATGGACAATGAAAGCCAGGATGAGGTGGTCTCAGATGGAGAGGAAGAACTTGTTGGGAACTGAAGCAAAGGTAACTCTGTTCATGTTTTAGCAAAGAGACTGGCGGCATTTTGCCCCTGCCCTCGAGATTTGTGGAATTTTGAACTTGAGAGAGGTGATTTAGTGTATCCAGCAGAAGAAATTTCTTTTCTTTTCTTTTTTTTTTGAGACAAAGTTTTGCGCTTGCTGCCCAGGCTGGAGTGCAATGGCATGATCTCAGCTCCCGAGTTCAATCGATTCTCCTGCCTCAGCCTCCCGAGTAGCGGGGATTACAGGCATGGCTAATTTTGTATTTTTAGTAGAGATGGGGTTTCTCCATGTTGGTCAGGCTGGTCTCAAACTCCCAACATCAGGTGATCCACCTGCCTTGGCCTCCCAAAGTGCTGGATTACAGGCGTTAGCCACCATGCCCCAGCCTGCAGAAGAAATTTCTAAGCAGCAAATCATTCAAGGAGTGACATAGGTGCTGTTAAAGGCATTCAGTTTTATAAGGGAAGCACAGCATAAAAGTTCAGAAAATTTGCAGCCTGACAATGCAATAGAAAAGAAAATCCTATTTTCTGAGGAGAAATTCAAGCCAGCTGCAAAACTATGCACAAGCAACAAGGAGCCAAATGTTAATCCCCAAGACAATAGGGACAATGTCTCCAGGGCAGCTTCAAGGCAGCTCCTCCAATCACAGGCCTGGAGGCCTAGGAGGAAATAATGGTTTTGTGGGCCAGACTCAGGGTGCCCTGCATCCCAGCCACTCCAGCTGTGGCTTAAAGGGGCAAAGTAGAGCTTGGGCCATGGCTTCAGAGGATGCAAGCCCCAAGTTTTGGCAGCTTGCATGTGGTGTTGAACCTGTGAGTGCCCAGAAGTTAAAAATTGGGGTTTGGGAATCTCTGCTGGATTTCAGAAGATGTATGGAAATGTCTGGATGCCCAGGCAGGAGTTTGCTGCAGGGGCGGTGCCCTCATGGAGAACCTCTGCTAGGGCAGTGCAGAAGGAAAATGCAGGGTCAGAGACCCCACACAGAGTATTTACTGGGGCACTGCCTAGTGGAGCTGTGAAAAGAAGGCCACCATCCTCCAGACTCCAGAACAGTAGATTCACTGACATCTTTTACCCTTTGCCTGGAAAAACCACAGACACTCAATGCCAGCCCATGAAAGCAGCTGGGAGGGAGGCTGTACCCTGAAAAGCCACAGGGGCAGAGCTGTCCAAGACCATGAGAACCATCTTTTGCATCAGCATGACCTGGATGTGAGACATGGAGTCAAAGGAGATCATTTTGGAGCTTTAAGATTTGACTGCCCCACTGGATTTCAGACTTGCATGGGGCCTGTAGCCCCTTTGTTTTGGCCAATTTCTCCCATTTGGAATGGCTGTATTTATCCAATGCCTGTACCCCCATTGTATCTACGAAGTTACTAACTTGCTTTTGATTTTACAGGCTCATAGGCAGAAGAGACTTGCCTTGTCTCAGATGAGACTTTGGACTGTGGACTTTTGAGTTAATGCTGAAATGAGTTAAGACTTTAGGGGACTGTTGAGAAGGCATGGTTTGTTTTTAAATGTGAAGACATGAGATATGGGAGGGGCCAGCAGTGGAATGATATGGTTTGGCTGTGTCCCTACCCAAATCTCATCTTGAATTCCTACATGTTGTTGGTGGGACCTGGTGGGAGGTAACTGAATCATGGAGGAAGGTCTTTTCCATGCTGTTCTTGTGATAGTGAATAAGTCTCATGAGATCTGATGCCTTTATAAAGAGGGGTTCCCCTGCACAAGTTCTCTCTCTTTGCCTGCTGCCATCCATGTAAGACATGACTTGCTCCTCTTTGCCTTCTGCCATGATTGTGAGGCTGCTCCAGCCATGTTGAACTGTGAGTCTATTAAACCTCTTTCTTTTGTAAATTGCCCAATATCAGGTATGTTTTTATCAGTGGTGTGAGAACAGACACATACAGCCTTTAGTGCAAACTTCCCTCTTAGCACTGCTTTTGCTATATCCAAGTTTTGGTATGTTTTGTCCCCATTTTATTTATTTATTTTTTAATTTCTGTGTTAATTTTTTTTTTTTTTTTGAGACAGAGTCTCAGTCTGTCACCCAAGCTGGAGTGCTGTGGTGCAATCTGGCTCACTGCAACCTCTGCCTCCCAGGCTCATGCGACTCTTGTGTCTAGGCCTCCGGAGTAGCTGGGATTACAGGTGTGTGCCACTACACCTAGCTAATTTTTTTGTATTTTTAGTAGAGATGGGGTTTTACCACATTGGCCAGGCTGGTCTCAAACTCCTGACCTCAAATGATCCATCTGCCTCAGACTCCCAAATTGTTAATATTACAGGCTTGAGCCACTGTGCCCAGCCAATTTCTTTATTGACCCAATGATCATTCAGGAGCAGGTTAATTTCCATGTATTGGTACAATTTCCAAAGTTCCTCTTGCTATTGATTTCTAGTTTTATTTTACTGTGGTCTGAGAAGATATTTCATAAAATTTTGATTCTAAAAAATGTACTGAGACTTGTTTTATGGCCAGACATATGGTCAGTCTTAAGGAATATTTCATGCACTGATGAGAAAAGTGTATATTCTGTAGTTGTTGGGTAGAAAGTTCTGTAAATATCTGTAAGGCCCATTTGGTCTGAAGTTAAATTGAAGTTTAATGCTTCTTGGTTAATTTTCTGTCTAGATGATCTAATGCTGTGATTGGGGTGTTGAAGTCTCCAAATATTATTGTATTCCTCTGTCTCTCTCTCTCTTTAGGTCTAGTAATATTTGTTTGCAAATCTGTGTGCTCTAGTGTTGGCTGCATATGTGTTCAGAATTGCTGAATTAATCCCTTCATCATTACATAATGACCTTCTTTGTCTTTCTTTTTACTGTTTTTAACTTAAAGTCGATTTTATCTGATATAAGTATAGCTATTCCTGCTAACTTTCAGTTTCCATTTGTGTGGAATATCTCCACCCCTTTACTTTCAATCTATATGTGTCTTTATAGACAAGATCAGTTTCTTGTAAGCTGCATATATTTGGATCATGGTCTTTTACCCATTCAATCAATTTATATCTTTTAAGTGATGCATTTAATCCATTTATATTCAAGGTGAATATTGATGTGTGAGATTTTGTTCCTGTAATATTGTTAACTTTTTTCTAGTTGTTTTGTGAATTGTCTTCCTTTTTCTCTGTCTTTGTGGTTTTATGGAAGTCTGTAGTGGTGTCATTTGATTCCTTTCTCTTCCTCCTTTGTGTGACTTCTTTACCAGTGAGTTTTATACTTTCTTATGTTTTCATGATGGTGAATATCATTCTTTTGCTTCCAAGTTTAGGACTCCTTTGACTATTTCTTATCAGGTCAGTCTACTGGTGATGAATTCCCTTGACATTTTCTCATCTGAGAAAGGCTTTATTTCTTCTTTATTTATGATACTTAATATTTCTCCTTTATGATACTTAATATTTCTCCTTTATTTATGATACTTAATCTTGCCGAAACCAGAATCCTTGCCTGTTTTTTTTTCTGTCAGTACTTTGAATATATCCTCCCTTACTCTTCTAGTCTGTATAGTTCCTGCTGAAGAGTTCACTGGTAGTATGAAGGAGTTTCCTTTATAGATGACCGAGCAGTTTCCTCTTGTGATTCTAGAATTCATTCTTTCAATTTGACTTCAGACAGTCTGATTATGATATACTGCGGCAAACTCGTTTTTTACATTATATTTGCCTGGGGATCATTGAGCTCCCTGTATGTAGATGTCTACATCTTTTCGTATATGTTAAAAGTTTTCATCTATTATTTTGTTAAATAGGTTTTCTAAACCTTTTAACCTCTCTTCACACCCAGGAAATACAAATAATTCATGAGTGTGTTCAACCAACATAGTTCAAAATGTCTCAAAGGCTTTGTTTATTCTTTTTTATGTTTGCTTTACTTTTGTCTAACTGAATTATTTTAAAAGATCTGTCTTCAAGTTCTGAAATTCTTTCTTCTCCTTGGTCAAATCCGTTGTTGAGGCTTTAAAATGTATTTGTATTTCCTTCAAAGAATTTTTCTGTCTCAGAATTTCTATTTGGTTTGTTTTTTGTAAATATCTATCTCCTTAGTAAATTTCTTATGCACTTCCTGAATTGATTTTCTGAGTTCTTTGTATTGGTTTTCAGATTTCTCTTGCATCTCCTCAAGCTCTTTAAAAATCAATATTTTGAGTTCTTTAACTGGTATTTCAAATATTTCTTTTTGGTTAGGATCTATTGCTTGAGAATTATTGTGTTCATTTGAGGGTGTCATATGTCTTTGCTTTTGATGTTTCCTGTGAATTTGTAGCAACAGGTGCTTCTAATTTTGAATTTACTTTTGTTTGGTGAGGGTAGACTTTTTCCTTGAAGATACAGCTATGATGTTGATTGGGTAAGGGCCTTTAGTTTTGCCTCTGAGTACATGCAGTAGTGAATAGTCTACAATTTTTTTTAGCTATAAATAGCATTAGTGGTATCTGCATTTTCCTCAGTCATGTTAGGGTGCTGCTATTGGCAGGAGCTGTGATGAAGTTGTGCTAGGGACTGGAATGCCAGATGGGCCTGTCTTCAGATTTCAGTGGTGGATTAAGTGTATCTATCCTTGTTTTCTGTGCACCATATGCTGGCACCTTTGTTGGTGGCTCCTGGCAAGCCAATATGTGGGCCTCTTGGATGCCAGTTGTAGTAGCAGTATACCAAGTGAGTGAGTTGGCTTTTGGGCATTCTGCCTCATGAGCAGTCAGGGTGGTATGGGGAATGGTGGTAGTAGTGGTCATGAGGCTTTCCAGTTTCCAAGCACTGTGCTTTCATGTTAGCAATGGTTGCAAGTGGCTGTGTGGGCCAGTAGATGGCACTTGCAGGTAAGACCCGGCTAGGGAGGTAGCTGTAGGATGCTTATGACCAACCTCTGTTCCTGAGAAGTGCTTAGGTGTCCCACGTGGTGGACTGGGTTGTGAAACACCCAAGAACCTGAATACTGTGCTGTGTCTTGGAGGGGAGCAGTGAAATTGGACCAGGCAAGCTTGTGCTCAAGCCCCCTCAATAATGGATGCATACACCAGTCTTGATGGGGTGGGGCAGTTCTCAGGCCCCTGGTGAAATGCTTGGGTGAGGAGCAACCACTGATGCACTAAGGTCTTAGCATGGGGAGGGTGGTATGAACCCAACAGCTACAATTTTAGCCAGTAAGAGTGGGACTTACATTTTCTCATGTCCCAGTCCCAGTGGAGCTCCCTCCCCTACCCCAGCTGTCACAGCCCATCCAACTCTTCAGTCAGTGCCGATGGTTTGTACCAAGTCAGCAACTCAGTTTCAGGCTATAGGAGCTTCTCCCCGTCTAAAGATCAGGACTTCATAGCAACTCTCCTTCCGCTCAGTTCCCAGAGGAAGTGGGTGCTTGGTTCTAGCACCAGCAGCTGGGTCCCAGGCTACACTTGTTTCTCAGAGCTGGGTGTGAGAGCCCACACCTTTTCAAGTGCTGCACAAGTTTCCCTAACAGCTAGGATTGACACTGCTGGTTCCCAGGACCGTGTGCAGCTATTCAAGAGCTAGGATCAAGAATGATGTCTTATAGTAGTTGCTGGGGTCTCAAAAGGGGCATAGGACATGCCCTGGAACAATTCTCACAGTCTCATAGTCACTCCCTAAGTTAGACTGAGAGCTTGGGAGGGTGAATATGCTATCCCGTGGCCCAGATTGCATGATTCCGCAGTGGGAAAGTGGACCACAAAAAGGCATTCATTCACCCTCTCCCATATTGGGAATTCACTCCCAGTTCCTGGATGACACACAAGCTGCTTGTTTTCTTTCTTCTTCCTAGATTCTAAAGTTTCTTTTTGCTTTTCTGTTGATCTCCCATGTTCCCGCTTGAATAATTTATTCAAAGTGTGATTGTCTACACATTACTTTGGTTCTTCTAAGTGGATAACGTATCCTGGAAATTCTTCTAGTCAACCATCTTGGAAAAGAAAACCATGTCCTTCAGTAATAAACAATTGTAATTTCATTTCCATTATTTCTTAGCACACATGTTGAAACAATTTTTGCTCAGCCTATCAGCTTTCTTTCTCCTTTCTTCATGGCTTAAAAGCTTATTTATTCCTGGCATCTCAGCTTAAGTAATGCTTCCTCCTCAAAGCCCTCCTTGACCTCCACGCCAAGTGAAATCTCTCATGTGGATTATCATGCACACCTCCTTTATAGCATGTGTCACAGCTGCATTTATAATGTTTGTGATTAATTAATGCCTGACTTACCCACCAGACTAAGCAACACAAGAATAGAAACTTGCCTGTTTTTGTTTATCATTTTATTTCCAGTACCTAGCTCCACATCTATATGCCAAATAATTATGTATGTGCTGGATGAAATGAATGATCCTAAAAAACAAAATATTTTCATATTTAATAAGGGCACTTTGTTCTTGCAAACCTACAGCCAGTAATGTTACAATATAACATTTAAAAAGCTAGAGGCATCCCATAGACTGAAATCTCATAGTCCTTGAAAATGGATGCTTAATTTTTCAGGCCATTAATTTTTATTTCAAAGAGATGTATAACAGATCCGACTCTTTGAATAATAGTGGGTGAATTATAGATCCTGTTATCAAAGATAGGAGCTCTACAGGGACAAATAATTTTCAAAGAAGCAACCATAATTTTATAGATATTTTAAACATAATTAAAATGGTAGAAAGCAAAAATCATTTTAATAGAATTTTAGTTCCTAAAATAAGGTTTTCATTGAATTAAAATGGGAGAGATATATATCTTTTGGCCAAAAAGTTTAAGTGACTTATGGCACCTGAAATCACTGAATTGCTGTATAACCGGAATTTTACTCATTACCAAGTTATAATCAATTCTTATAAACTAATATAAAAAACATTCAGCTCAGGTATTTGAATGGTTCAACATTCAATAACACATATAACAGGATAATTTTTTACATGGAAAAAAAAATCCCTTAGAAATTACAAAGCAAGTCTGAATTTACTCTTGAGATTGTCATCAATACGGAACATTAATCAAGCCAAGTGAAAACTGAATGCAATTAGTGGCTTAAGAATTACAAATACTTTCTCAACTAAACTGAAAAATGGCTGATTCTGTATTTCCATGGTAAACATGCTATGAAATCAGTAATATTTTGGTAAATATCCAGAAACAACAAGCATTTTTGCGGATATTCAAGAAGTTCTTACCAAATAGACATATAACAGAAGGTTTACAGAATGCACTTCCCTCTCCTTACAGGAATTCCTTGAATCTCTGCTTTGCCTTATAAGTGATGGTTGAAAAGAAGGTATAAGGTTACATCCAGGGATGTGTTTTGGAAACAATAAATTATAAGCATTATCCACTTACAAAGAGATGTGCAAAGTTCAAAGGACCTTGATCATTAGTTTGTAGTCAAATAAGAAAAGAAATAAATGTAGTCAAAATTATTGAACATCCCATTTTGGCAAAAAGAGGAAGTAGCAGAGAATCAAAATGCTCTCTGAGAGCAAAATCCAGGTCTTTGGCATGCTTAAGCTCTTATATAAATAGTAAGACATCAATAAATCTTTACTGAATAAGTAAATACATAGATTAATTAATTAATGGCTATGTGTCTTTTCCCCCTTATACATAAGTTTTACTCTTATCAAAAGAACATCCATACACTTCCTTATAACAATAGGCAGATTCAGTTCTTATGAGTACTACAGGATAAAATAGGCAAACACAAATTTGCACACATATATACACACACATAGAAGATAATAGCAAGGAAATTCTATAAACCAATGCCAATTTAAAAAAATATATATTAGGCAGCTTTTATTTTCCTTTTGAAAATATTTGTGTTCTACAAACTTGTAAATAAATATGAAGACAAAGTAAAAATGAACATCCCCTATTTGCTAATAAAATAACCGTGGGAAAAAAAGAAACATGAGAAAAAAATAAAATATAACAATGGTGAACACACTAGAAGCAGCTGTGTGCTCGATCATTCTAGGTACTTAATCAATATTCATTGACTGAACAAATGAGTCTGGGTCAAGAAGAGAATTATTTTATAACTCAGGTGTCAGTCTAGAGAAAGAGTCTTTTTCCTCTATATTTAGTAATCCAATAATCACTTACAGGGCAACTCAATGTCCCACATACTGTTCAAAACTAAGGTACAAGCAAGACATGAAGACAGGATATAAGACATGAAAAAGACAGAGACCTACAATTACATATAACACAATATGTTGAGCACTATAATAGAACATGTATAAGTATCTCTAAGCAAGAAGAATCTGGATTATACCAGTGAAGGCAAGAGAAGTATCAACCAGAATTTGGTCTTGAAAAATGAATAGGAATTTTACATATGAACACCAATATCTAAAGATCAGGGGAAAAGATAATTGAAATAATTCCTTTATACACAACCAAGAATGTACCTGAGAGAGATGACTGGAGTATATGTTGGTACTTCAACTGCTATTACTTCTGCAATGGACATTTCACTTTAGACATTACATTAAGACTAATTTCTCTGCCAATAGTTGTTTCTTTTTAAGCAATTGTTATAAACACCTATATGATGGAGGCAAGTAGCATGTTTTTTACTCAAAGTTTTTATGTCCATGCTTGTTTCCCTCACAAGATAAAGCAAAACTCCTTTCCTCTATTTTTGTTTCTTTCTTCTCTGTAGTCCCCTAAATTATATTCTCTTCTGTCCTCTCTCCATCCTCATGTGTCACTTGTCCACTGCAATGTAGATTTTTTTAGAAAAAACTTATTTCTCATACTGCATTGTCTTGGCGTTCTCACCTGGCATACAAGTAGATATTCTGAAGTCCCTCAGCTAAAAGTGAGTTTCCAGGTGGGTCTATTGATTATACATTCAGCACTTCAGAGAGAGCTGGAAACGAGATGACATGGCTTAGCATCACTTTTTTTTTTTTGGTCAAATGGATTTTGGTGTTAGAAAATGTTTGCTCAAGTTGGGTATTCTAGAAATTGCTCTATAACCATGAAATTTTCTACAGAATAAAGTAACCTGCAGAGGATTAAATTGTATGAAAGATTCGTTACTTTGGAGAAAAACCTAGGATCCACATAAATGGTGAATTTTTACCTCCGGAGCCATGTTTTGCGTAACTATGACACTTTGTTTCCCTGAGAAGAGGAGAAAATAGTAAAAATTAGAGTATCCAAGCTAAGCAAACTCTCATGGAAACTTTTTTTAGGTGCTCTAGATTAGGTGTTTTCTTCATCTGGTGAAATCACAAAAATAGAATTAGGCTGCAATTCACCATATTTGAGCCGTTGAATTACATAAAATTCTGTAAGACACTGGTCCCCAACCTTTTTGACACCTGGGACCGGTTTTGTAGAAGACAATTTTTCCACAGAAGGTGGGGGTGAGGGATTGTTTTGGGATGAAACTATTCCACCTCGGGTCATCAGGTATTAGATTCTCATAAGGCACGCACAACCTAGATCCCTCACAAGCCCAGTTCACAATAGAGTTCATGCTCCAATGAGAATGTAATGCCACCACTGAGCTGATGAGAGGTGGAGCTCAGGCGGTAACACCTTGTGCCTCCTCATCCCCTGCTATGCAACCCAGTTCCTAACAGGCCACAGACCAGTACAGGTCCATGGCCCAGGGGTTGGGGACCGCTGCTGTAAGGAATAAATTTGGAAACATTCATGCTATTTTCTCTCTTTTCTCAAATTATGCTCAATTATCTTCATATTATGCCTTAGGGATCATTAAAACAAATGTGTGGTTATTTTATAAATTAAAAATTTAAAAAATTCAAAATAACATTACAATCAGAACAACAGCATTTTCCTTCCCCAAAATGTTCCTGCAAAAGATATATGACTTTCTCTGATTGACTTCAGTTCGACTGATGGCTTAACAATAAGTTTTATAGCCATCTTGGTTACAAATAAAATGCCCTAAGACCTCAAAGCCTATATTAGCTCATGAAAATTTGGAATACATATTAGAAAAAAAAAATCTGCCATGTCTTCCTGGTTTCTAAGCCAGAAGACTCCTGGGCAACCCTTTGATGTCCTGGTTAGATCTTCCAATCAATCTTGGGACTAGCCACTCAGGATAGTTTTTAATCTCTAGGTAGAGAGAAGGACACAAAAATCCACCACTCAACAATAGGAGTTTCAGGTTTTCCCATTGGATGAGCTAAATTTCTGGGAAAGCTACAGTTTTCCGCAATACAAACCAATATGCCTTGGAGACATTAGAATCTTTGTAAAGTTTAAGTTCTTACTGGGAATTGCCTAGAATGCGTTAGCCAGATAACTAGCCCAACCAAGAAGCCTTGTGTTCATTGTCTGATGGCCATGATTACATAAGTGCTTACAGCATTTATGGTTTTTTTATGGTCCTCTGTGTGATGCCTTAAAAGTTGTAGGTGACTGCTAACAATCCCAGGAGTGACGCCAATGTGTTTTGCACACTTGATTAATCTTAAACTTTCTGAGGTTAACTTCATAAAATATTGCTAACTGACCATTGCTACAGACCACAGAACATTCATACTGCTCGGCCAACTTTCAGTCCCTGGAACTCTGCAATTCTACAGGCAAAATGGTTCTCACCTTCAGAGATAAAATCATAGCCCTTGAAGGTTTTGTTCTCATTTTGTGTCTTCTCTCTACATTTAAACTACTAAAGCTACTGGCTTTGTGCCTTTAGATCTTACGCTCTTTATTTCCACCTTTTGATGGGTCTACAGTCAAGGTGGCTGCCAATCAGCCTTCATACACATTAGTTTCTTTTTGTGAATTTTCAACACAGAAAAGTGTGACTTAAAAAGCAATGCATCATTTTTCACTCTTTTACTCTGGGTAAATTAATTTCTCCATGGCCTAATGATAAAAACTGTCTTAGGCCAATATTACATTGGCTTTTTACTAAATATGTTGATGCTATAGCTTATACATTTAAATTTTAGGCTATACCAGAAGAAAGCTTAAGGTTAAAATTCATTTTATATATGCTATTTTGCCTAAGATAAAATTGATATATAACAATCCAACACAAAAGCAAGGAATGTTTTATTGACATAGTTAGAGACTTCACCTTGAAGTTTACCCTAAAGCACTGAACTAAAAAAATCACTTATCGCATATATGTTGTGATGGTAGTCATGTAAAGGAAACTATTTTAAAGACAGGTTTCCTTAGAAATGTAGAGTTTAAGACATTAAAAAAGATTCTGAAGACACATAAACACTTAGAAAATAATATGCATGTGCATAAAAGTATAATTAAATATATACATGGATATTTTGATTAAAAGCTCCTAGAATAAAACAGTCTTTTATGTGTTTGTGTGTGACTACCTGTGTTTAAAAATATATATATATATATAAAGACACAAACTGTCAGTGTTTAAAATATAGAATAAAGTTCATTCAATATCCATATATTGAATATAATTAAAATATTTTATTCATATATAGAAATAGAATATATTTATTCTTAAAATATTTTATATAGTTCAGAATATTTTTTCTAATCACAGGAACACGGTGTTTTGTGAAAGAAATATTTTGCCTAGAATAGTTAGTGGACTGAAAGCCAATAGTCCATTTTTGTCTGAGACTTTTAAAACACTAAAGAGTACCTTTTGTAAATATATGTGTATGAACCTATAGAATCCAATAAAGAAAATTAAGAGAGGGGGCATCTGAAAAGCACGCTTTTCTTTCTGATGGAGAAAACAGACATGATGAATTTTATGCTCTCAAGGGCCTAACATTGATACTTATATATTTATCAATTTTTCTGCTTCTGATAAAGGAAACAGCTCTTCTGTGAGCTAGAAAGGCAAACTAAGGGGATTTTTTTAATTAATTGGAGGAAAAGTGATGCATTAGTAGACTGCATTTGTTTGAGAAAGGAAGGATGCTTGGTTTCTAAACAATTCAACAATACTCTGACACTCCTAGTTTTAAAATTTCTTAAAATTTTAGACTGTTAGCAAACTGTTTTAAAAATTGCAATCTAAAATTTAGTATAAGTCAAAGAAAAGTTTATATATCAATAAGAAAGGTAATAATTTATACCTTAAACATTTCATTCTTTTGAAAATTTCTCTAAAAATGTCATGCTAAAAGACTACAATGTACAGGGGAAAAGGTAGCCTCTTTAGAAACTTGGTCTACGGCAATTCATTTCCATTAGAGGAGCAGGGAAATATCTTGACCTCTTACTTCACATGCCATACACATACACACATATCCGTTCCACTTCTATATGGTTTTCAGGTTTAAATGTGAAAAGTAAAACAATGAAATAGAGAGAAACAGGGAACATCTTTGCAGCTTGAAGTAAATAAAGATTTTTAAACAAGATATAAAAAACACTAACAATGACTTTAAGAAATTCTAAATTTATGCTACTTCTGTTTATCAAAAGAGACCATCGAGAATAAAAAGGCATGGTAGAACAAGAGTCAGAAAAGAAGGATCCATTAATTGTAACCCCCGCACCAATTTAACAACTATCTACATTGAAAAAACATCTTCATGAGAACTAAAAATCAGGGGAGCCCTCTTAGTACCTAGTTTTATCTTCCTATCACTGAAAGAGGCACTGAAAAGATAGAGAAAAAGTATTGAATTGCAGGTGCCATCCCTTCCCCAACCCCCAGCAGGGGCTGCATGGTGCAGACAGCATCTATGGGTGCTGGGGGAAGGAGAGCACAGCAATTATGAGGCATTAAACTCAGTGCTGTCCTAATAGAGGAAAAAGGAAAACCAGACCAAACTAACCTAACAACCGCCCATGGAGGGAGCATTTAAACCAGTCCTAGCCAGAGGGAAATCCCCAGATCCTAGCTGTTGGAATTTAAGTTCCTGCAAACCTTACCACCAAGGACCAAAGTGCTCTGGGTCTTGAAGAAACCTTGAAAGGCAGTACAGAAGGACTGTAGCTCTTAGGTGAGTCCTAGTGTTGAACTGGGCCCGCAGACTGTGGATGGGGGGCACTCGACCTACTAAGAGACCAGCCGGGGCAGCTACGGAAGACTTAGCATCACTCTTCCCCTAATCCCAGGCTGCACAGCTCAAGGCTTCAAAAGAGGACCCGTCTTTCCACTTGAGGAGAGGAGAGGAAAGAGTGGGGAGGGCATTATCTTGCATCTTGGATACCAACTCAGCCACAGCAGGATAAGACACCAGTTGAGATGTGAAGCCCTTATTCCAGGTCTGAGCTCCTGGAATTCAGGGCATTCCTAGACACACCCTGTGCCAGAAGGGCACCTACACTGCCTTGAAGGGAAGGAAACAGTCCTGGCAGCATTCATCGCCTACTAACTGAAGAGCCCTTGGGCCCTGAATAACCAGAAGTAATACCCAGGTACTACATCAAGGGCCTTAAGTAAGCCTCTGAGATGGGCTGCCTTCAAGTACCTGCATGGACACAGGAAAGTAGAGCACCAAGCAGGCTCTTGGCGTTCTCTATTCCAGAACTTGACTCAGATGGCATTTCTGGACCTGCCCTGGGCCAGAGGGGAGCCCACTGTCCCAAAGGGTGAGTCCCAGGTGCTAACTTAAGAGACCTTGGGCCTTAGGGAAATATTGGTGGTAGTCTGGCAGTACTCCCTGTGGCCTGTGGTGGCAGTGGCTACCAGATAAGCCTCCCCTGCCTTTAGAAAGGGGAGTGAAGAGTGCTAAAAACTGCATCTTGTGGTTTGAGCACCAACTCAGCTGCACTACAATAGAATACCAGGTAGACTTCTAAGTTTTTTGACTCTAGCCCCTGACTCCCACACAGGACCTCTGGACCCACATGGGACCTTGGGGTACTCACCACCTTGAAGAGAGAGACACAGGCCTAGCTGGCTGTGACACATTCTCATTGTAGAGCTCCAACGCCCTGAGCAAACATAGGTAGTAGTCAAGGCGTGGTTTACAGCAGATCTTGGGTGAGGACAAGTGCTGTGCTGGCTATAGGTCTAACTCAGCACAGTCCTAGTGGTGGAGACCACAGGAGAGCTTTTGCCATTTCACCTGCAGCTTTAGGTGGCTCAGTAAAGGGACAAAGAGATGTTGTTTGTTTGGCAGAAAGCACAGAAAGAGAACAAGAGTCTCTGCCTGGTAATCCAGAGACTTCTCCCAGATCCTGTCAAAGACTATCAAGATGGTACCTCTGCAAGGTTGCAAGAACCAGAGCATTACTGGGCTTGGGGTGCCTCCTAAAGCACAAACAGCTTAGTTCACAACACTCAAGTCCTTTCAAATATCTGAAAAGCTTTCCCAAGAAGGACAGGTACATACAAACCTAGGCAGTGAAGACTACAATAAATGACTAACCCTTCAACATTCAACATTAAGGAGCAACTACTAGCATCAATACCATACAGGAAAACATAAACTCACCAACTAAAATAATAAGCCAGCAGGGCCCAATCCAAGCAAAACAGAAATATGCAATCCTTCAGACAGAGGCTTCAAAATAGCTGTGTTGAAGAAACTCAAAGAAATTCAAGATAACACAGAATTCTGAATTCAAAGAATTCAGAATTCCACCAGACAAACTGAAAAAAAAAAAAAGATTGAAATAATTATAAAGCATCAAGCAGAAATTCTGGAGTGAAAAGAATGCAATTGGCATACTGAAGAATGCCTCAGTCTTTTAATGGCAACATCAATAAGGCAGAAGAAAGAACTACTGAGCTTGAAGACAGGCTATTTTCAAATACACATAGGAGGTTAAGGCAAAAAGAACGAAAAGCAATGAAGCATGCCTACAGAATCTAGAAAATAGCCTCAGAAGGGCAAATTTAAGGCCTTAAAGGTGGCTTCAAAGATGAGGTAGTGAAAGAGATGAAGGTAGAAAGTTTATTCAAAGGAATAACAGAGAACTCCCCAAATCTAGAGATAGATATCAATATCTGCAAGAAGGTTATAGAACACCAAGCAGATTTCACCCAAAGAAGACTATCTCAAGGCATTTAATAATCAAACTCCCAAAGGTCAAGGATAAAGAAAGGATATTAAAAGCAATAAGAGAAAAGAAATAAATAACATATAACGGATTTCCAATACCTCTGGAAAAATACTTTTCAGTGGAAACCTTACAGGCCAGGAGAGAATGACATGACATATTTAAAGTACTAAAGTAAAAAAAAAAAAAAAACTTTACCTTACAATATTATATCTAGCAAAGATATCCTTCACATATGAAGGAGAAATGAAAACTTTCCCAGACAAACAAAAGCTGAGAGATTTTATCAACACCAGGCCTATCCTGCAAGAAATACTAAAGGGAGTACTTTAATCAGACAGAAAAGGACATTAATGAGCAATAAATAATCACCTGAAGGTACAAAACTTATTGGTTATGCTAAGTACACAGAAAAACACAGAATATTATTAACACTGTAACTGGTGTGTAAACTACACTTATCATAAGTAGAAAGACAAAACAATGAACCAATCAAAAATAATAACTACAATGACTTTTCAAGTTATAGACAGTACAATAAAATAGAAACAGAAATAAAAGTTAAAAAGTGGGGGGATGAAATTAAGGCATATAGTTTTTATAGTTCTCTTTTTGCTTGTTTGTTCATACAAATAGTGTTAAGTTGTCACAAGGTTAAAATAATGTGTTATCACATAGTATCTGAAAGCCTCATGGCAACCTCAAACCAAAAAACATGCAATGGATACACAAAAAATAAAACGTGAGAAATTAAATCATATCACCAGAGAAAATTATCTCCATTAATGAATGACAGGAAGAAAATAATGAAGACCAAACTACCAGAAAACGAGTAACAAAACAGCAGAAAGAAGTCCTTACTTGTTCATAATAACACTGAATGTAAATGGACTAAACTCTGCAATCAAAAGACAAAATATGGGGTGAATGGATGAGAAAAACAAGACCTGTTGATCTGTCACCTGCAAGAAATACACTGCATCTAAAAAGGCACATATGGACTAAAAGTAAATAAATGGAAAAAGATATTCCATGCCAATGGAAACCAAAAAAGAGCAGGAGTAGCTATACTTATATAAGACAAATTAGTTTCCAAGACAAAAACTATAAGAAGAGACAAACAAAGGTACTATATAATGATAAAGGGGTCAATTCAGCAAGAGGATATAACAATCTTAAATATATATGCACCCAACACTGGAGCACTCAGATATATAAAGCATACATTATCAGAGCTTAAGAGAGATATAAACCAAAATACAATAATAGTTGGAGTCTTCAACACCCCACACTCAGCATTAAACAGATCTTTCAGACAGAAAATCAATATAGAAACATTGGACTTAATCTGCACTATTGACCAAATGGATCTAATAGATATTTACAGAATATTTTATCCAATGACTGCAGAATACACATTCTTTTTCTTAGCACATGGATCATTCTCAAGGATATACTATGTGTTAGGTCACAAAAGAAGTCTTAAATCATTCAAAAAATGAAATAATATCAAGTGTCTACTCTGACCACCATGGAATGAAACTAGCAATTAATAACAGGAGGAATTTTGGAAACTATACAAATACATAGAAATTAGACAATATGCTCCTGAACGACCAGTGGGTCAATGAAGAAATTAAGAAGAAAACGGAAATATTTCTTGAAACAAATGATGATAGACACACAACATACCAAAACCTATGGGATACAGCAAAAGCAATACTCGGAGGGAAGCTTAGAGTTATAAGTGCCTACATCAAAGAGGGGGAGAAACTTTAAATAAACAATCTAATGATACGCCTTAAAGAACTTAAAAAAGAGAGCAAACCAAATCCCAAAATTATGAGAAGAAAATAAATAATAAAGACCAGGGCAGAAATAAATAAAATTGAAAGTACAAAAGATCGATAAAACAAAATTTTGTTTTTTTGAAACATTAAACAATATTAACAAACCTTTAGCCAAACTAAAAAAAAAGAGAGAAAAAATACAAATAAATAAAATCAGAGTTGAAAACAGAGAGAAAAAGGAGACATTGCAACTGATATCACAGATATGCAAAGGATCATTAGCGGTTACTATGAGCAACTATATGTCAACAAATTGGAAAATCAATGAGAATTAGATAAATAATTAGAAATATACAACCAGAAAGATTGAACCATGAAGAACTCTGAAACCTGAATATACCAATGGCTAGTAATGAGATCGAAGGGATAACAAAGTCTCCCAGTAAAGAAAAGCCTAGGACTCAATGGTTTCACTGCTGAATTCTACCAAAATCTTAAAGAGAACTAATATTAACCCTACCCAACTATTCTAAAAAATAGAGAAGGACAGAATATTTCCAAACTCATTCTATAAGGCAATTATTACCCTGATACCAAAACCTAACAAACACACATCAAAAAAAAAGAAAACTCCAAGCCAATATCTGATGAATATTGAAGCTGTAATCCTCAACAAAATACTAGCAAACCAAATACAACAATACATTAGAAAGAACATTCAACATGACCAAATGGGATTTATCCCTGGGATGCAAAGATGCTTCAACATTTGCAAATTAGTCAAAGTGATACATCATATCAACAGAATGAAGGATAAAAACCATATGATGTGTTCAATTATTGCTGAAAGAGCATTTGATAAAATTAAACATCCCTTGATGTTAAAGCCCTCAAAAAATTGGGTATAGAAGGAACATATGTCAATATGATAAAAGCTATATATGGCACACCCACAGCTAGTATCATACTGAATGGGGAAAACCTGAAAGCCTTTCCTCTAATATCTGGAACATGACAAGGATGCTCACTTTCATCACTGTTATTCAACATAGTCCTGGAAGTTTTAGAAAGAGTAATTCAGACAAAAGAAATAAAAGCCATCAAATTTGAAAGAAGTCAAATTATCCTTGTTTGCAGATTATATGATCTTATATTTGGAAAAACCTAAAGATTACACAAGAAAACTATTAGAACTGATAAACAAATTTATTAAAGTTGCAGGATACTGTACCAAATACAAAAATCAGTAGCATTTCTATATCCCAACAGTGGACAATCTGAAAAAGAAATTTAAAAACTAATCCCATTTAAAATAGCCACACATAAAATTAAATACTAGAAATTAAGTTAACCAAAGAAATAAAAGACCTCTACAATTAAAACTGTAAAATACTGATGACAGAAGTTGAAGGGGACACCAAAAAATGGAATAATATTCTACGTTCATGAACTGGAAGAATCAATATTGTTAAAATGTCTATACTACCCAAGGCAATCTACAAATTCAATGCAATTCCTATCAAGATACCAATGACATTCTTCACAGAAATAGAAAAAAAAAAATACTAAAATGTATATGGAACCACAAAAGTCTCAGAATAGCCAAAACTATCCTAAGCAAAAAACGAAACTGGAGGAATGGCATTACCTGACTTCAAATTATGTGACAGAGTTATAGTAACTAAAACAACATGATACTGTCATAAAAACAGACACATAGAACAATGGAACAGAATAGAGAACCCAGAAACAAATCCACATATCTACAATGAACTCATTTTCCACAAAGGTGCCAATAACCTGCACTGAAGAAAAGACAGTCTCTTTAATAAATGGTGCTGGGGAAACTAGATATCCATATGCAGAAGAATTAAACAGGACCCCATCTCTCACCAAATTCAAAAATCAAATCAAAATGGATTGAAGGCTTAAATTTATGACCTCAGCCTATGAAAGAACTACAAGAAAACACTGGGGGAATATCTCCAGGACATTGGTCTGAGCAAAAATTTCTTGAGCAATACTTCACAAGCATAGGCAACCAAAGCACAAATGAACAAATGGGATCACATCACTTTAAAAAGCTTCTGCACAGCAAAGGAAACAATAAACAAAGTTATTATTTGCTTAAATAAACCCACAGAATGGGGGAAAATATTCACAAACCATCCATCTGACAAGGGATTGACAGCCAGAATATATAAACAGCTTAAACAACACTATAGGGAAAAATTTAATAATCTGATAAAAAGTGGGCAAAGATTTGCATAAACATTTATCAAGAGAAGAAGACATCCAAATGGCAAACAGGCATATAAAAAGGTGCTCAACATCACTGATCATCAGAGAAATGCAAATCAAAACTATAATGAGATATCATATCACCCCAGTTAAAATGCCTTTTATCCAAAAGACAGGCAATAACTAATACTGATGAGGATGTGGAGAAAAGGGAACACTTGCACACTGTTGGTAAGAATGTAAATTTGTAAGAATGCAAATTTGTACAACCACTATGAATAACAGTTTGGATGTTCTTCAAAAAACATTTTGTTAAGTGAAATAAGCCAGGCACAGAAAGACAAACATCGTGTGTTCTCACTTATCTGTGGGATCTAAAAATTAAAACAATTGACCTCATGGACATAGAGAGCAGAAGGACGTAGAGAGTGCAGGCTGGGTAGGGTAGTGTGGGATTGGTGGAAAAGTGAGCAAGGTTAATAGGGGCAAAAACTTAAAAAGAATGAATAAGACCTACTATTTGATAATATAACAGAGTGACTATAGTTAATAATAATTTAATTGTTCATTTTAAAATAACTAAAGGAATGATATTACATTGTTTGTAACTCAAAGGATGGATAAATGCTTGAAGGGACGGATGTCCTATTTTCCGTGATGTGATTATTTCATATTACATGCCTGCATCAAAACATCTCATGTACCCCATAAATATATACACCTACTATGTACCCACAATAATTAAAAATAAAAAGATTTTTTTTAAAAAAAAAAGAATAAAAAGGAAACCCAGATAGTTGGAGAAGACATTCATGCCACACATATTCAACTGAGGACTTCTATAAAATTACATCAAGAACCCAAAACCAATTTTACAAAACAAGAAACAAAACAGAAAAATGAACAAAAGGCCTGAGCAGATAATTTTTAAAAGAGTATATTCAAATATTTAATAAATATATTAAAAGTTGCTCAGCTTTATCAGCCATCAGAAAAATGAAAGTTGGAATCCAAAATAACATGAACGTACAGGCTGGAATGGCTAAAATTATAGTAATAGAAAGTAATAAGTATTGACAAGAATATAGAATAAGTTAAATTCTGAAGCCCTGCTTATTTGGCAGCTTCTACTAGCATTTAACATAAGCATAATCTATGGCCCAGAAATTCCACTGTACCCCCCAAAAAAACCTATGTTTTCTAAAAGACATGTACTAAAATGTTCATAGCAGCACTATTTATAATAGTCCTGAATCTGAAACCACCCAGATGTTCATTAGCATAAATGCACTGTGGAATATATACCAAATGAAATATGACACAACAAGATTAAATGGGCTATAAACCTCTTTTAATATTGCAGGTGAATTTTAAAACAATGTTGGGAAATAAATTTAGACATACTCTATGTCCATGATTTCACACATATCTACATATATTTCCCACAACAAAACTAATCCATTAACTAATCCACAATACCACAAATTAGGAGTATGGTAACTTTCGGGAGGTATGTATGTGCTAAGGGCTGGTATTATTTAGCACTTCCCTTTTTTAATAACAATTTGAGCTGTGGTTATGCAGGTGTATTCAGCTTTTGGAAATTTATTGAGCTGTACACTTGTGATATTTGCACTGTTACACATGTGTATCACAACTCAATGGGTAGAAAAAATGTCATCTATAAAATGAGTATATTAAAAAATTGTACTTTTATTCAGTGAAGCATAAAAATTGTACTATTGTAGAGGAGATACATAAATCTTAAAAAACATACTTTCTATTTCACTCTAACAAACCAGTATCACTTGATGGCCATGTATGTAAGTAAGTAACAGTTTCAGGTTTTCTGATATTAATAAAAACTGATGAAATATTTAAGTTTCAATATACAGAATAGCAGCTTTGTGCCAGGTGTGGTAGCTCATGCCTGTAATCCCAGCACTTTGGGAGGCTGACATGAGAGAATCACGTGAGTCCAGCAGGTCCAGGCTGCAGCGAGCTGTGTTTGACCCACTGTACTCCAGCCTGGGTGCCAGAGACCCTGTCTCAAAAAACAAACAAATAAAAAATAGCAGCTTCAAAGAAACAAAAAATCATGATACTATGGCCTCATACGTTAACATTTGAAGTTTAATGTTAAACAACTTTTCCTTTATAAGAATAAATCCAGAACTAGAATTTCAGAGCTCAATCTATTATTCGAGAATTTCTTTCAGTGACTTTAGAAATGGAAATGGCAGAAATAATAGAAATCACCTGACCAGAACAAGAGGAAAAAACTTAAAAGAAGCCTCAGGAAGCTAACACGTTTCTCTGTCTTGCATTCCCCAGATGCCCAAACCAAATGCTAAGTAAGCTTAATGTACGTGCTCAGCACTACCACAGATTTCGGAATCAAATAGCTAGGGAGACTTTTAAAAATATTCTATCAAGGAATTCAGTGGTTTGATAACATTAGTACCTGATTCCCGTAGATTAATGTTATTTTTTAAATAATCAGTTCTTTTTTGTACATAACCTGTTTTCATAACCATCTCTTGCATTTTCCTTGTTAAGCAATTTTTGCCTAACCACCCAGTTCTCGTTACCGAGTTTCTACTTTGAGTGATTTCTCCAGGAGTGTTCTGTTTGGTGTCCTATCTCACTTCCAAGCACTGGACAGATATCTGTGTTCCCTTCCTCTTTACCCACGGACTTTGGTCTGTTGATTCTCACTAGATTTGCTTGGTGCTGTTAGCCTATTTCTCTGGACAATGGCCAGTTGTTCCTTTTAAGATTTTCTGAAACCATGCTGTGCCTGCAAAGCAGGGTATTCACCTGTTACTCACTCCTCACCAGGCCTTTGTGTCCTTACCTGGACTTCTACCAATGCTAATGGCTTTCCAACCACCTCCCCTCACCTGGGAAGATACTGTCAGTCTGACATACATTATGCATCTGTCTATCCAGAATTCCTCACACTGCTGATTTCTGAAGAGCATTCCAACTTCAGTGGATCTTTTTCATCTCTGCGTCTTGACCATCTCAACCTGGCCCTTCTGACAACTCCAGTGAGAAGAAGGCAGAAATTAAGAACAGAATATATATTTTTTGGTCTCAGTCATGCTCAGGATGGCGCAAGATGAGAAACAGCCTGGAATTTCCCATCCTTGACAATCTTTACCATATCCTGCCCTTCTTGGGCATTAAGATAGAGTTAAGAGATAGGAAAAACCAAGAAAAGCAAAAGAGTCAACCAATAAGAAGAGTATAAAAGGACAAATATGTCAATAGTTTATGTTATGGAGTTTGAATTCTCACTTCTCCACTTTCCAGTAATATGACATTGGGCAATTACATAAATTCAATTAGCTTCAGTCTCCTCTTCCTTAAAATGTGGATAACAAAAGGGTTGACTCCATAGGGTTGTTATGACTCAACACATAACATAAAAAGTACTCAAATATTTGCCATTATAGGCATATATTTTAAGATCTACTGGCGAAAGTAGAGGCACTGTAGAATAATGGGAAGAACAATGAACTACAAATAAGTCAGGGCACAGTTTCAAATCCTAGTTTGTCCATTTGCCTACTATAGTACTTTGAATGAGTGACTTAACCTGACTTTTCCTCATCTACAAAATGTGATTAGAGGCCGGACGCAGTGGCTCACGCCTGTAATCCCAGCACTTTGGGAAGCCAAGGCAGGCGGATCACAAGGTCAGGAGATCGAGACCATCTTGGCTAACACGGTGAAACCCCATCTCTACTAAAAATAGAAAAAATTAGCCGGGCGCGGTGGCAGGCGCCTGTAGTCCCAGCTACTCGGGAGGCTGAGGCAGGAGAATGGCATGAACCTGGGAGGCAGAGCTTGCAGTGAGCTGAGATCGCGCCACTGCAGTCCCACCTGGGCAAAAGAACGAGACTCCGTCTCAAAAAAAAAAAAAAAAAAAAAAAACGTGATTAGAAGATTTTAAAGATATTTCTAACATGCAACAAACATCTAATACACCTATTATATTTTTAAGTCTTTAAATATTTGTTGGTCTCAATACCAGCTGAGTCTTACTTTACTATAGTTTATACCATGCCATATCATAAGAGCTCCAGAATCAAATGTTATAATGAAATATTTTCCAAATAAAGAATTCTGTTTTGAAATATTATCTAGCATATTTTGAATTTTCTATTTATCATGCCTTCTAAGTTGTTTCAATGCTTTTATTTAAATTAAAAGATTATCTTATCATTAAAATTACATTACTTTATTACATTTGATATTACATAACTAAGACAGAAATACAACTATATCAAAAGCGTTCAGTAGAACACATGAGATTGTATTTATTTCACTACACATTTTTTATGTACCAGTCATTATTTTGAACTTATTTTTTTTCATTAATTTTTGCTTAAAGTAATTAATAAACCAAACAGAGGGAGGAATTTTCATTATAAGACATGAAAGAATTTAATGTCCAATAATTTCAGATCATATATATGCATGAGGGGTATGTGTATGCACAAGCACGTGCATACTTGGGTATATATTTAGAGACATAAATATATAGTAAGTCCTCACTTAATGTCATCAATACATTCTTGGAAACTGTGACTTTAAGGGAAATTATAAACAGCAGGTCCTCAAATAACATCATTTTCTCCAACATTATTTCTTTATAACACTTACGAGAAAAAAATGGTTTCATAACACATTGTCTTGCCTATAGTCATAGTTTCCAAGAACTTGTGGATGACATTAAGTAAGGAGATGGAGTGTGCTCTTATCTACACACACACACACTATAAACACAAACATACACACACGCATATACATATGATTTTAAGACAAAAAGCCTTGCTAAAAGATAATTTGGAAGCAAAAGATATTACACACAAGATTTGCCAACCACCCAGAAATGTTAATTCTAAAAGTACAATGTCATTTTTTAACGTATTTGGAAAAAAGCCTGTGAGTTTGAAAGATTCCAGCCATTACTGAGATCACATAGTCAAAGCACCTGCCTCAACATGTTTTTCCTTCCTTTTCTTCTTTCCCCTCTCCCCGCACCTTCACTTTCTCTTTATAATGTTGTATTTGTTTTCTATGGATGCATAATAAATAGCCAAAAACTTAGCAGCTTAAAACAACGCACACCTACAATGTCAAGCTTCTGTAGGTCAGTAGTCAAGGCACAACTGACAGATGGGTACTCCACTTCAGCTTTCCCATGTCCTCATCTGGAGACCCACTGAAGTAGAAATCTGCATCCTAAGCCCATTCAGCTTGTTAGAAGAATGCATTTCCTCCTGGCTGATGAAGACACCCTTAGGCGCTAAGGCTGCCTATAGTTTTCTACCATGCGGCCCGCTCCATAGGCAGTTTACAATTTGGCTCTTTGTTTCTTCAGGACCCACAGAAGAATCTCTGACTCTATTCTGCTAAAACAGAATTTTATACAGTATAAAGCAATGGAACAACATTCCATTACTTTTGCAGTACAATGTAACCTAATGAAGAGAGCGACTTTCGACACAAGGAGTCAAGCTAGGATGTGTCTGCCACTCTGTATGATAGTAATTTTGTAAGAATTATTTTCCAAAGACCACTTTAAATTTACCACACTAATGACCTTCAGGCTTGGTTCAGACTTCATTGAGGTTTTTTATAAATCAGAAACAATAATGTTTTTAACTCAAAAAAAAAAAAAACTAATCCTCATATGTTGACCCCACTTGAATTTTATCTCCACAGGGTCATTTAAATATTCACATCAGCTGTTTTCACATATTTAATTGACAAGCTCTTTATAAAGTATTGATGTCAAAACAATGCGGTTCTCAAGACAATATTACTATATGGGTTATAAATTCATAATGAAAATTTTGTTTTCTTTATAATGACAATCAAAATACACTTCTCCTCTATGTCTTTTAAAAGCCAAAATAACTATAATTTTAGTATGGTATAAATATTTTCAGCAAATTGTGAAAATGGAGAGGATAGAATTGAGAGTGCAGGTAGTATGCCAGGAAGAAAAGTATAGATGCACTTTTAAAATCTCTTCAATGCTTTCATTAAACAAGAAGAATAGTAAAAAAAATATATATATAAAAAATCCATGGACATCTGCAAAAAAATCTAGTGACGAAATAGCCCATCAACTTCTGAGAATAGAAGTTGGTGGTGTCATTCCACCACTAGCAGGATGACCTGTTCAAGACAAAGATAGGGTAGGGTAGAGAAAGGAGCACTCTTTGATATCAAAACTATCAAAAATCCAGAAACCATAAGTAACCCACCAAATTCACACACGAAAGCGGAGTACTCTCATTTTGAAATCCTCAACCATGCAGAGGTAAGAACAATTTGTGAAAATCGAATAAGGATACACTGGTTCCAATGTGAAGGAGAGGGCCAAAAAACTATGAGGACCTACTAGGGAAAATATTCGAGGGCACTAGTTAAGCCAGCCCATGAAAGATTTTGGAATTATTGATCAAAAACTCATTTTTTGGAAAGATGGAGATCTCCTCTGAATTGGGGGAGGAAAACTTCTATGAATAAATGGTAAGCTTAATAGGAAAAAAAAAACCCTAAGAGTGAAGGAGAAAGAATTTTCATATTCTGGGTAGTAGATGAGGGGAGGTACCAAGGGAACAGATCTTAGAACTTTGGACCTGGCTAAACAAAGAAGTTATATTATTAATACTTTATAATTACAACAAAACAGGAAGCTCTCGAGTAGTGAAACTACCCGGACCCGCTCCACACAGCAGAACTGTTCCCCTCACAGTATAAGAAAATCCATATCACTCAATATGTACAAAAGAAATGAATTGTGACCAAACCTCATATAAATATATGGGAAGAAAATAACACAAAAATCTGAAGATCCACTAAAAAATCTGATGATAAATTAGAAGTAAACCGTAATATAGTGCATAAACATAAGAAAACAGCAAATGCAAATTAAGAAAACTAAAGCGAATAATTAAAAGTGCTAACCAAAGAAAAACCTCAAAATGAGATTATAAAATAAGAGAAATACTGGAAAATAGAACTTTCAGAACTAAGGACAGAATTTTTTTAAGGGAAAACAAAATTCAATAAGGAGAGCTCAACTTGAATAAACTTGAAGAGATATTATGGAAGGTAAGGTAAGAAAAACAAAGGATATCAAGGAGAAAAAATAAACAGAGATTACACAAATAGATACATAGATAAAAACAGTTTGGACAACAAAAAAAGAAGGAACACATAGATATAATAGGTAATCCTAAGAAGACAAAAAATATGATCAGCATAAATAGTAATAATTCATACAATACATTTTTAAAAGGGCTTGAACCTACATATTTGCAAAGGTACATCACGCAACTGAGAAAAGTATCAGAATAGCCACACCAAAACAATTTCTAGTAAAACTACTGGACTTAAAGAAAGAATTATTTAGCACTAGGCAAAAAAACTAAATTTGTGTAAAGGAAAGGAAAGGATAATTGCATTGGCAACAAACATCACAGCGACACTTCATAAGATAAAATGACAGAGACAAATACTTAAAAAGTATGAACTCAGGATTTTGAATTGAACCAAAATAACTTTCAATTACTGTTATAAATTTGCAAGAATATTGAACACAAGGTCCATTTTCTGAGAATTTATTAGAGAGGAAGCCCACCAAGAATTCAAGGTAAGTTTTAGCAACTTTGCTGTAAAACTATGACTATAGTAAATTGAATTTATGTAAATTTAAAGCTAACACCAATTAATGGAGATGACATAACCAAATAGAGAATACACATGGTGTTTTTTGACAAAAGACGTCTATTACAGCCAAAAATAATAAAGAAGACAGACACAGTGTATGAATTATACAAGTTCACTCCTCGATAGGGTGTGATTTGGTGTAAGTGATTGTCACTATCAAATAAAATCCTGGAGGAAAGGGATAAAAGAATGAAAATGTTACTAGCTAATTTTATTATTGTTACATTATAAGGATGGTTGATAGTACTGATAAAAAAACGAACTAAGTGTATCTTAAAGTAACTATTAGGAAAAAAGCACAGGCCTTCAGTACACACTGGACTATTTTTTTAGTAAATGAGCATAATACCTCCAATTTACTCACAAATGGTTCAGAAAAAAATAATATTTATATGCCTCCCCACAGACGCACCCACATGCCTACACCACACACACACACACACACACACACACACACACACACACACACACAGAGAGAGAGAGAGAGAGAAAGAGAGAGAGAGGAGAGGGAGGGAGAATGGTAAAGAAAAGGGGCAAAAGTGTGAAACACTAAAAATTGGTAAAGAAGAAATAAGAGTTTCTTGAATAATTGCTGAAATTATTATTCTGTATGTTTGATTCTAAATTTGGAAATTTGTTGCTAAAATACACATTAATAGATCTAGGAAGAAAACATTTACAAATAGAAATTTTTTAAATAAAATTTGTATTACTCCAATTCAAAAGTCAACAGTTAATTAATGAGGACACCCTAGCACCATTACCTTTAAAGTCTATAACAAAACAAATGTACCTAGCATCTTCAATTGTATTTCACAATAAATTGGAGGTCTTACCTAACCTAAGTGGTGATTAATACACACCACACACACACACACACACACACACACAGGTTGAACATCTCTAATCCAGAATCCAAAAATCTGAAATGCAAAATGCTCTAAAATCTGAAATTTTTGAGCACCAATGTGACACCACAAGTGGGAAATTCCACACCTGACCTCATGTGATGGGTCACAGTCAAAACACATCAAAAACATTATTTTGTGCCCAAAATAATTAGAAATATTTTATAAAATTACCTTCAGGCTATGTGTATAAGGTGCACATAAAACATAAATGGATTTTATGTTTAGATTCAGGTCCCATTCCCAAGATATCTCATTATCTATACATCATTATTCTAAAACCAGAAAAAAATGAAATCTGAAACACCTCTGGTCCCAAGCATTTCATAAAAGGGATAGTCAACCTGTATATTTATATATGTCATATTCATATATATATAGCATAAGAATTTGAAAAGAAGATTATCTTCATATGCAGAGATATTATAACTGGAAAACCAAAAAAAAATCAATAAAAGTCTACTGCAAACAATAAGAGTTTAGTAAACTGGCTAGAAATATAATTAACATCTCCAAATCAATAGACTTAGCAAGATATAATGGAAGGGAAGGTTTTATTTACAATAAAATAAGAGTAATAAATTATACAGCAATAAACTTTAAAAACTACAATAAGAGATATAAGGAAAAATATAAAGACTCATTAAAGATGCAAAGGATATGTGACCAAATGGAAATGTATTGCTTGAATATGAATATTCAACTACATAAAGGTGTTAATTCTAAGTTAATTTTGTAAATGTAATTAATTCAAATAAAATTCCATAATGTTCTTCCTTGGAACAAGACAAGTTGGTGATGAAGTTTTTAAAAAAGAATAAGTATGAAAAAATTAACAAGAGAAAGGCTGAAGAGCATGTGGTGGGGGACCTATCATATCTCATGTTAAAATACTTTAAGGCCTCCCTAATTAAAAGCATAGTATTATTTAATAAATTGAAAGAGCAGTAAAAATAAGTAGAATATCAAAAATAGGCTCAAATATGTATAGAATTTAGTCATGATAAAAGTGTCATCTCAAATCAGTGGAGAAATAAATCTTTAATAAATTATATCAGAACAACTGGATAAGCATGTGGAAATGTATAGAATTTGATACATTCTTTCTATCATGTACTAGGATAAATTGCAAATGAGTCTAAGATTTAAGTATAAAAAATTAAAATTCTAAAAGAAGTAGAAAACATGGATGAATGTTTTTTTTTAACCTGGGAGAGGAAAACACGTTCATTCCTATCGCTATTCGTCTAGCGTTAAGTAATCAGGTACAAGAAAAAATCATAGAAGTATTAACCTGGTAATTTTACATTCAAATATAAAACATGTATGTACCTTTGAAAACTTTTCCTTGAAAAATGTATATATTTCCTAGCTCTGTTCCATTGGAAAGGCCTAGAAACAATGTTAACCCACTAGTAAAGAATACCATTAGAGCCCAGATCATGGTCTCTAAATATTATTTCCCACTAAAGGGACAGTACTTTATGGAGACATGACTGATACCAGGTCTGGGGTGCAAAATGCAAAAGATGATCCTAGGATACCATGTCTAAAGGCTATAGGAACCAATTTGATGGGACTCCTACTGGCCTAAATTATATGAAATTGAGCTTCAAAGAGCATAGAGACTGCAATACGTTGAAACATCTGATATAGTACAACCTGTAAGAAATAATATTTTTAAAATTGATTAGATACTATTAACGTGTGCTAGAATATAACTTGTTATCTTTAAAACAAATCTTTTTAAGAAAAGAGAAAAATCCAAAAAACTTACCCTATTTTTCTTACTGAAAAAGTTAGCCAAATAAAACTCCTCTTGACAGAAGAGCTACAGCAAACAAGTACAGATAAAATGGTGAAATTAGAATATCGCTATTTTCCAAACTCTAAATAACAGATAGGGATAATAACCAATAAACTTTAAACTAATCAGGTCAAAAGTTAATAAAAATCTCTTAATGGAAGGATCAGGCTGATACTACTTAAATGCACTGGTCAATTGAAGAATTAACAGAAGTGAAACAAGCAGACATTATGTGCCTCCTGATGTGATACACTAGGAAGTACAGAGCACAATCAGGATGTCTTATCAAAGAACTGGATATCAGTCCAGTCCTCTCTGTATATACATTACTATAATTATTCAAGAAATATAGGGGATAGAGAGACAAGGTAAATGATACTATAAGGAAATAATAAGCCAAAGCCAGGGTACTGACATTCGACAGACTACAAGATTCAATTTCTTCAACTAAACTGTGGCATGGTGAAAAATAGAAGGGGAGACCGTTAGGACGTAAAGCCACTTAAGAGACATAAATGTCAAATGCAATGTGTTATCTTCTTTCAATCCGTATTCAAATCAACTACAAAAAGACTCTTTCAGACAATTAGAAAACTTTCAATACAAACTGGCTATTACATAGAATTAGGTAATCATTGTTAATTTTGTTAGCTATTATAATGATGCTTATATTACAAAAATAAATGTTTTTATTAGCGGTCCATACTCATGTATATATGGCTGAAATAACATAATCTTTAGAATTTTCTTCAATATACTCTCAAAAAACAAGGTAACACATGTTGGATTTTCAGAGTTGCTAATATTCATTTTTATCACCACCAAAATATAATAACATTTCTATGCACCAAGCATCCAACTTTCCAGAAGAACTGCCATATCTTATTTTTGCAATTGACCATTATTCCTGGCTTTCCAGAGAGTGGTATTTATGAAATTTCCAGTGTCCACAAACCAGCATTTTTCTGTTGGAAAGAAACAAAGTGAAAGATACTATTATCTGACCCATAAGAGTTTATGATTTTTCAGTGGAGCTATAGCACATAATTTGAACACTTTCAGAGAAACATGCAACCAATAAATTTTAACGGAAGTTATCCATGTCCAGGAATGCTGTAGAATTATTTTCCCCTTTGGGGAGGGTCATTATGTGAATGAAAGCAATTGATCACTCATGCACCTGTCTCAGCATTATTGGTTAAAAAAAAAAAAGCACTACATAAGGACTTATGTCAGCCTACAAAGGACCTTGGAAAGGAGAAGACAGCAAAGCTCAATTTGCTACTTAAAGTACAAACCACTGTTATAAACCACACTGAGGAGATCAGCTAAAGAGATTTATGATGCCATCGCTAAGATATGTGGGATACCGCTGGAGGGGCTATTTCAAAGGACAGAACCACTCTTCTTAAGCTGCTGCTGCCTCTGTTCTCAGTGAACCCCAGTTACACCTGCCCACTAAGGATATATGGAGTGGCCTGAGGCTCAAGCAGAGCAGTGGAAAATAACAGATAACAGCATCCCCAAACAGTAAATGCCCAAGGAGTGCAGATGCTTGTTAGGTATCTGTCCTCTTTCTAAATTGAAGAGTGCTGTTTGCACCGAGGGTTAGGTTATACTCTAATGTATTTAAACATCTGTTCACTTAAAAATATTTATGATGCATGTAATCTCTGAGCAAAAGCAGAAAACTCTGCTGTAAAGGAGCTTCCAGTCAAGAGAAGGAGACAGACTTTCACCACATAGTCACAGTGATGAACACTAATTATAAATAGTGATAAGGAAAGAAACAGTTTCTTCCTGTGTCTGTATCAAAGGAATCCTTTCTCTAGTCTGGCAGGGTCAAGAAAGGCTTTCCTAGGGAATGCCACTTATCTGATGCTTGAAGGAAGAAAAGGTATACTCTGGGCACAGTTAGTAGAGCAAAAATTTCCCAGGCCGAGGGGACTGTGGGAATAAAGGTGCAGCTAAAGGAGGTCAGATAGGTTATAAGTACAAAGACCAGAGGGAGAATGAAGTTAGATGAAGTTTGAGGATGAGGCAGACCTGATCTTAAAGACTCTGTAGCCACGTTAAGGTGTTCAAATTTTATTATAAGAGCAATTGAAACCATTGACAGCCAATTGAAGGATGTTAAGCCGAGGAGTGACATGATTTATGTCTTTAGAACACTATTTTAGTATGAAGAATAGATTGTAGGGAAGGCTGAATAGATATAAAGATTGCAAACTGGTGTTGCAAATGTTCAAGCAAGAAATGATAGTAAATGAAACGATGTTGGTAACCCTCAGGTGAATAGAAGGTTGAGATGTGTTCAGCTGTAACTCATAGCCTTGGCAAGGGATTAGCTAAGGGACAGGCGAGGATGGAAGTGAGGTAAGGCAGAGGGAGTTGTCAGGGAAACCCCTTTATTTCTTGTTTGTGTACAGTCATGAGTCACTTTAAAAACAGATGCACTGTTAGGTGATTTCGTATTTGTGAAAACATCATAGAGTATAGTTACACAAACTTAGATGGCATAGCCTAATACACACCTAGGCTTTATGGTATGGCCTGCTGCTCCTAGGCTACAAATCTGTACAACATGTTACTGTACTGAATACTGCAGGCAGCTGTAGCACAATGCTAAGTATCTGTGTATCTAAACACATCTAAACATAGAAAAGGTAGAGCAAAAAATGCAGTATTACAATCTTATGGGACCACCATCATATATATGCTCTGCTGCTGATGATGGAAATGTCATTATGTGGTGCATGACTGTAATTTAATGGAAGGGGGGGTCAAATTTGTGGGGATGGGGAACATTCAAAGTAAACTAGATTTGAAAGAGATGCTTGGCCTAAGATACACTGAATTTAGGATATCTTATTGGAAATGTTAGGTGGGCAGATAAATGTAAAAATATGTAGCACAAAGAAAGTTATAGAAATATGGAAGTCCTTAGCCAGATGATATAAGGCCAGTGAAGTAGATGGGATTTCCTAAAGGACTTCAGGTTGAATCCAGCAGAGAACAGGGCCTCAGTCTGCATTAAGCTAACAGGGAAGGTTGAGTGTTTGTGACCAGACAAATGTTTTGAATTTAAGAATATTTAGGTATGGCCTGCATTTTCCAGTTAAACAGTTTTCCCTCTTTTCTACCAGGCTACTTAACACACTTGTATTACCTGCTGGCTTTGAAGACATTTGAGTTTTCAGAATATGGCTTGAAAAAGAAGATAATTTAGGATAGTCGAACAATTTCATTACGTGTTGTACCTTTGGGTAGCAAAAGATGAAGCCAGCAAATTGTGGAAATAGCTGATGTGCTAAGAATTAGTAAGGAAATCTTTTTCTAAAGTATTATATCGTCAACAGAAAATTTATAAAAGTATATGAAAATAAAATTTACTTAAAGATATGTTTAATAGTCTCTGAACATAGAATATCAGTTTTTAATTTTAAAGATTTTTTTCTGATGTGTAAAGGATGTAAAGTTTATAGACTGAAGTGGAAATAAACACATAAATGATACACAAAATTTCTCTTAATTTAAACTGCATCTTACTGGCATTTTTTTTCTTTTAAAATAGCCCAACCTTTAAATATGATACAAATTATTTCACTGGGCTATCATATGTAATTCTTTATTCCTACAAGGTCTAATTTTGAAAAAGTGGAAGTCATTATGTAATTTCAAGCATCACCATCTATGAAAAAAGAAAAATGAATGAAAAATATTAAAGATGCCTGAAAGCACTTGACTGAAAAAAGTTATTTTGCTATAATTGCAGAAAGAGATATTAGGATGAGAAAAAAATGATCATCCATTTGCAACCATTATAATAAAAATTTATAGTGGCATTTGTCCTTTCATAACACATTTTTTCCCGAGCTTTAGGCAAAAGCATGATGCTGTGTTTAATGTATCAAATTAATGAAAGCTGAAATAAGTTATTTGCTAATAATCTTCTTATAATCTTCTGTAATGTCATCTTTCTCCTTTACTTTCAATACTTTAATAGGCTAAGTTACAAATTTTAAAAAGATCGGATCTTACAAACAATCATTCAGAAGCAGTGTAACACAGCAATTAAGAGCATGGACTCTGGGTCCAGACAGGCTGGATTTAGATGTTCAACTCTGCCACATTTCAAGTGCATGACTCTTAATATTTTATGTTTCAGTCTCCCCATGTGTAAAATGGGATAAGGGTAACCACCTCACAAGATAGTAGTGAGAATGAAATTAATCACTACAAGTTGTTAGAATAATGCCTAGCCCATAACACTTATCCAGGCTTTTATAACTATTTTTATTTTTATTTAAAAGTAAAGCTTCTGGGCCGGGCGCGGTGGCTCACGCCTGTAATCCCAGCACTTTGGGAGGCCGAGGCGGGCGGATCACGAGGTCAGGAGATCGAGACCATCCTGGCTAACACGGTGAAACCCCGTCTCTACTAAAAATACAAAAAATTAGCCGGGCGTGGTAGCGGGCGCCTGTAGTCCCAGCTACTCGGGAGGCTGAGGCAGGAGAATGGCGTGAACCCGGGAGGCGGAGCTTGCAGTGAGCCGAGATCGCGCCACTGCACTCCAGCCTGGGTGACAGAGCAAGACTCCGTCTCAAAAAAAAAAAAAAAAAAAAAAGTAAAGCTTCTGTTTCACATTAACAAAATTCTAACCAAAATTATACTAAATTACTGGGGGAGACAATGAAGGTTTCTCTCTACTCCACTCATACAAGTTATAGAAACATAAAATGAATTATTTTTTAAAAGGTACTACAGAGTTAAATTTTTTTCATTTATCCAACAAAATAGTTTTGAGTGTCTATTATGTGCTAGGTGATATATTAGGCCTGGGGATACAGACCAATCTCTATCTACCTGCTCTAACAGAGTTTGCATTCTAATAACAAAGCAGATATTTCACTAAAAAAATTTTCTCTCGTACACATACAATAATTTTCATATATTTTTAAAAGGATATAAAAAGAAAGCAAAGGGCGTATGTGAGTATATTAGGAGGATCCGACTTAAATTAGGCATTAACATAGGGTGAAAAATGATTGTCACTTCAGTTCTCCAATAAGGCACACAAAAAAGACAATGAAGGTACAAAGTTTGTGTGGCACACTTATGTGCGCGTACACAGACACACACACACACACACACACACACATATACAGCATCCCGGGTTTCTGGATTTGGTAACAGACCTTTTCTGAGACACTAATATTTGGTTCAACAGTGCTTGGTCTACAACTTAAGAAACTGGTTTAAATTCCAGATGCATTTCTTTCAAATATACTTTGAAAAAATTCATCAGAAAAATGCTGAGTTAAGGAGAGATGAAACTGCATGACACAATCAGACCTAAATATTTCTGTCACTACTGGCTTTCTCATTTGTATAATACCAAATGCCCTATCTAAGGCAACTGACCAAGTTTTGTTTCCTTTTATCACAAAACTTAGAATTTGCAAACTTTTTTTTTTTGTTTTTGACACAGAGTCTCACTCTGTCACCCAGGCTGGAGTGCAGTGGCACGATCTCGGCTCACTGCAAGCTCCACCTCCTGGGTTCACGCCATTCTCCTGCCTCCTGCCTCAGCCTCCCCAGTAGCTGGGACTACAGGCACCCATCACCACGCCTGGCTAATTTTTTTTTTTTTTTTTGTATTTTTAGTAGAGACAGGGTTTCACCGTGTTAGCCAGGATGGTCTCAATCTCCTGACCTCGTGATCCGCCCACCTTGGCCTCCCAAAGAGCTGGGGCAAACTTGTTCTTACAATATACAGCAGCTAGTTATCTTTATTCCTGTATCCCAGTTTGTGCCAAACACAAGACACTCAAGATACTCAGGGGAACCTCATCCCCAGGACTCACATCCACACAACCACCCTCCAACATGAGAAGCATGTGGAGACTCAAAGCTGTCTGAGGAATTTGCAGTCCATCCTCCGCAGAGCCCCTGTAGCCTCAGCATCTTTGGAAACTCCCTTCAGCTGCCCGCTCTGTCTGAAGTCTATTTCTCTCCTGAAGACTGCTTCACCTGAGCCCCCTCAAGTGTTGCTTCTTCATCCTCACAGCCCTGGTTCCCTCGTTCCTGGAAATGGGGAGTTGTCATGCTGGCTCCTGATCACCATTTCTAGACCTTTTCACTTTCTACTCTCTAAAACCCACAGTTTTTAATTTTATATCTTTAAACTCTACCATAGGAATATTCTTTCTTGGAAACATTCTTATCATATTTCTTGATGATTTTAACATGGATCCAATGGTTCAATCATTCATTGACCTGCTCTCATCCAATAATCTTACAACCATGTTGTTTTGAGACAGCGTCTCACTCTGTCATCCAGGCTGGAGTGCAGTGGTGCAATCATGGCTCACTGCAGCCTTGACCTCCCAGGCTCAAGCAATCCTCCCACCTCAGCCTCCTGAGTAGCTGGGACTACAGGCACAGGCACAGGCCACCACACTCAGCTATTTTTTTTTTCTGTAGAGATGGAGTTTCACCATGTTGCCCAGGCTGGTCGCAAACTCCTAGGCTCAAATAACCCACATGCCTCAACCTCCCAAAGGACTGGGATTACACATGTGGCCAACATCTAATTTCATACAACATCTAATTTCATGATGAGCTAGATTTGGTATTACCAATAAACATATCCACTCCATATCTTAGTTTCTGACATCCTACTCAGTGACCACTGTTTATTTTTCTAGTTCACTCTTTTTAATAACTCCAGTTCAACAATTATTCAACCATAGTTTCTCTATGTTCTAGAAAAGGGGTCCCCAACCCACCAGCCACATACTGATACCAGTCTGTGGTCTGTTAGGAAGAGGGTCACACAGCAGGAGGTGAGCTGCAGGTAAGCAAGCATTACTGCCTGAGCTTCCACCTCCTGTCAGATCAGCGGCAGCATTAGGTTCTCATAGGAGGGGGAACCCTGTTGTGAACTGTGTATGCAAAGGATCTAGGTTGCACACTCCTTATGAGAATCTAATGCCTGATGATCTGAGATGGAACAGTTTCATCCAAAAACCATCCCCCCAACCACCATCTTTTAAAAAAACTTGTCTTCCATGAAACTGGTCCCTGGTACCAAAAAGGTTGGGGACCACTGTTCTAGAAAACAATTTCATACCATTGCTTCTTTTATCAACTGCCAACACATCCTTCCCATTTTCCTAATTGTCAATGATGCCTTTGATTCCAGTTGTGCTGCCAAAAAAAAAAAAAAAAAAAAAAAAAGAAGAAGAAGCAGGCAGAAGACAACCTTCACCAGTCTCATTCCACAATTACTCACCTACCTGCATCTATGTTTGTAAACCCTAACTACCCTCCTCACATTAAGGTGGAATTAGCAGGGCTACTCTCTATGTCCACATTGTGCATTTGATTCAATCTCTCCTCCCCTGCTCAAGAACATCGTCCTTGCAATTGTCCTTTCTTCTGAATCTTCAGTTTGTTCCTCTCTCCTGGATCATTCTCATCAACATATTTTTAAAACCACTTTTCCCTTCCTTAATGCTCTGTTTCTATTTTACCCTTTATAGCAAATCTCCTCAGAAGAGTTGTCTCATTCACTATTCTAAAGCCTTTTAACCCCAGTCTTTCCTCGATCTATTTAAACAGGTATTTGCCCACCACTCCACTGAAACTTCTCTTTTCAGTGTCCACAAATAGTCTGCATGTTGCTAAATCCAGGGGTCAATTTTTGATCATCATCTCAACCTACCAGAAACATGTGACATTTGAGCATTTCTCCTCCTTGAAACAATTTGTTTGGCCCTCAGGACACCCAGCTCTCCTAGATTTTTTTCTTACCATACCAACCTCTCCTTTTGAGGTTCCACTGCTATTTTACTCACGCCACAATCCTTATGGTGCAGTCCCAGGGCTCAGTTCACTCTTCTTTCCTGTCTACACTAACTGAATGATTCAGTCAATACAGGTTTTTGTCATCTGTATGTTAATGACTCTAAAACTTACATCTGTAGCCTAGAATTATGCCCTGACCTACAGATTTGTACATCCAACTATCTACTAAACATCTATGCTCTGACATAGAATGGACATCACAACTTTACAGATCTCAAACCAAATTCCTGATATCCCTCTCACAAACTTCCTTATCTCAGTAATGGTAACATTTTTAGTTGCTCAGCCCCACAAAATTTAAAGTTATTATTTATTGCTCTCCTATTCTCACATCCAACATTCATCAATAAGAATTGTTAGTCCAAGCTTTAAAATAGTCAGAATTTGTCTTTTCTACTATCACCATTGCCACTACTTTGGTCCAAGCCATAATCATCTCTTCTCTGTATTAGTCTTCTACCCTGTCTCCTTCATTCTGCCTTTGTCTCCATTAATGTTGCCTTTGTCTTCCTCAATTCTGCCCTGGTCTCCATACGGTCTATTCACCACACGGCAACCAGAGTGATTGTCTAATATCCGTCATATCATGTCACTCCTCAGCTCCAAATGCTCTATTGGTTCCTGTAGTAGGCATGAAGATACCCCATCCAGATCCTCTGTCATGAGAAATTGCTGCCCAAACGTAGGAGTGTGGTCAGCAGAGTCTCACACTGTCACTTTCTCAGGATTTTCCTGAAGCATAAAAGCCACCTCCCCCTAGGCGATAACCTACATCCAATGACTAAACAAGGCAGGTGTGTAAACTCCCAGTGAATTTTTCCTGATGTAGGACAGCTTTAAAGGGCAATATTTTCTCCAGAGACCCCCACTGTGTTGGTCAATGATTTTTTTTTGGACTTGTATTACAATTTGACTTCTCTATTTAAATAGTAATATCCTACCCAAGAGCCCTCTCTAGCCACCCTCAGCTTAATTTTTCTCCATAGTATTTATCACTGTTGGACATACCTCATAATCTATAGTTTTTTATTGTCCCTCCACTAAAACATATACTCTATAAAGGCAGGAATTTTTTGCTGTGTCACCAATGTCTAGAAAATTGCTAAGACCTATTAGTCATTCAATAAATATTAAATGAAATGAATCACTATTTAACTTACTTATCTAATAATTATTGTTAGATATATTCAAATACAATGCTAATTGTCACTATTGTATAAAGTTAAGCATTACCAAACAGGCAAGTATTTGAGGATTAGTCTGGATGTAAAATATGGTTCATTATACTTAGTAGGCACTCAAGATGTGACTGTTGTTGGTGATAGCAATAGTGATGAACAGTGATACCTACAGAATGCCACAAAGGCCAGGGAACAGTGCTCTGCAGACTGTGACAGCAAAATCAAAAGTTAAGCCTGGGCACGGTGGCTCTAGTCTATAATCCCAGCACTTTGGGAGGCCAAAGCAGTTGAGTCACTTGAAGCCAGGAGTTTGAGACCAGCCTGGCCAACATGGCAAAACCTCATCTCTACTTAAAAAAAAAAATAGCTGAGTGTGGCGGTGCACATCTGTAATCCCAGCTACTCAGCAGGCTGAGGCATGAGAATCACTTGAACTCGGGAGGCAGAGGTTGCAGTGAGCCGAGATGGTGCCACTACACTCCAGCCTGGAAGACAGAGTGAGACTGTCTCCAAAAAAAAAAAAAAGTGACCATTCATTTA